>NC_000022.11:29770170-29921685 GCF_000001405.40 Homo sapiens
TGTCTTGGCCATGGGGAAGCACTATGGCCTCAGCTGGGGGAAAGACCCTGGCCTAGGGGTCTTAGCCACTCCCCACCCTAGGGTATAGTTCAGGGGTATCCAATCCTTTGGCTTCCCTGGGCCATGTTGGAAGAATTGTCTTGGGCCACACATAAAATACAGTAACCATAGCTGATGAGCTAAAACAAAAAACAATGGTTTGTGCAAAAATCTCATAATGTTTTAATAAAGTTGAAGAATTTGTGTTTGGGCCTCATTCAAAGCCATCCTGGGCTGCGTGCAGCCTGCAGGCCACGGGTTGGACAAGCTTGGTGTATTCTGCCTATTACTGAGTATCTTTTGGTAAGCAGTCATACCTCTCTGGGTCACAGCCTCCTGCCACAGTTCCACTCTGATGAGTTCAGTTCATAAAAGTGCTTAGTTGGTGGGTTTGAATCCTTACTCCACTGATTCTAGCTATGGGAACCAAGGTGATATGGTTTGGCTGTGTCCCCACCCAAATCTCGTTTTGAATTGTAGCTCCCATAGTGCCCATGTGTTGTGGGAGGGACTCGGTGGGAGATAATTGAATCATGGGAGCGGTTCCCCCACACTGTTCTCGTGATAGTGAATAAGTCTCACGAGATCTGATGATTTTATAAGGGGTTTCCCCTTTTGCTTGGCTCTGATTCTCTTGCCTGCTGCCATGTAAGACGGGCCTTTCGCCTTCCACCATGATTGTGAGGCCTCCTCAGCCATGTGGAAATGCGAATGCATTAAACCTCTTTTTATAAATTACCCAGTCTCGGGTATGTCTTTATCAGCAGCGTGAAAATGGACTAATACACAAGGGCAAGGCACTTGAACTTGCTGAACTCCGGTTTCCTTATCTGTAAAATGGGGTAGTAGAACATACTGTGTGGGATTTTTGGGAGTATTAAAGGAGTTGCAGGCCTGTAATCCCAGCACTTTAGGAGGCTGAGGTGGGAGGATTGCTTGAGGCCAACAGTTTAAGACCAGTCTAAGCAACATAGTGAGATACCCTGCCTCTACAAAAAAATTTAAAATTACCTGAGCATGGTGGCACCAGCCTATAATCCCAGCTACTTGGGAGGCTGAGGTGGGAGGATTACTTGAGCCAAGAAGTTAAGGTTACAGTGAGTTATGATTGTGCCACTGCACTCCTGCCTGGGGGAGAGTGAGACCCTGTCTCTAAAAATTTTTGGCTGGGCATAGTGTCTCACACCTGTAATCCCAGCACTTTGGGAGGCCAAGGCAGGCGGATCACTTAAGGTCAGGAGCTCAAGACCAGCCTGGCCAACATGGTGAAACCCCATCTCTACTAAAAATACAAAAATTAGCCGAGTGTGGTGGCATATGCTTGTAATCCCAGCTACTCGGGAGGCTGAGGCAGGAGAATTGCTTGAACTCGGGAAGTGGAGGTTACAGTGAGCCGAGATTGCGCCACTACACTCCAGCCTGGGAGACAGCAAGACTGTCTTGCTCTGTCATCCAGAATGGAATGCTATGGCCTGATCTCAGCTCAATGCAGCCTCGACCTGGGTGCAAACAATCCTCCCACCTCAGCCTCCCAGGTAGCTGGGACTACAGGTGTGCGCCACCACTCCCCACTAGTTTTTTTGTATTTTTTGTAGAGGTAGGGTTTTGCCATGTTGCCCAGGCTGGTCTCGAACTCCTGGACTCAAGACATCCTCCTGCCTTGGCTTCCCAAAGTGTTGGGATTACAGGCGTGAGCCACCATGCCCAGCCAAAAATGTTTTTAAATTAAATTTTTAAAAATAGAGGAGCTGTAGGCCGGGCGTGGTGGCTCACGCCTGTAATCCCAGCACTTTGTGAGGCCGAGGTGGGTGGATCACGAGGTCAGGAGATTGAGACCATCCTGGCTAACACGGTGAAACCCCATTTCTACTAAAAATACAAAAACATTAGCCGGGCGTGGTGGCGGGCGCCTGTAGTCCCAGCTACTCGGGAGGCTGAGGCAGGAGAACGGCGTGAACCCGGGAGGCGGAGGTTGCAATGAGCAGAGATCGCATCACTGCACTCCAGCCTGGGCAACAGAGCAAGACTCCATCTCAAAAAAAAAAAAAAAAATAGACGAGCTGTAATGCAGTTAGCACAGTCACAGATGCTGGCACATGGAAGAAACTGTTGGCAGAGAGACATGGAGGCTAAGGACTCAGAAAACCAGACGATTCTGCTGGAAGGCTGGAGCAGTAGGAATGTGAAGAGGAGGAGTTGGAGAAACGTCTGGTCATTCATTCAGCAAGTGTTTGGCTGGCCACTGTGAGGCACTGTGCTAGCAGGACATATGATGGTAATATAGCATGTGGGGCTTAAACTCCTATGGGGAAGACACTAAAAGCCATCCTGTATTATTACAGACTGAGCCAAAGGCTCTGGGAAGCAGTGCAAGGAGAGGGAGGGATTAACCAGGGTGACAGCTGGTCTAGGGAAGCCTCAGAAGAGCTGAGACCGATAGGTGATAAAGATGAGCCACTTACGTTGGGCGTTAGAGGCAAAGCAGGGGAAGTAGCAGGTTTTAGGGCCCATATGGGGAAAGCACTTGCTGTGTTGCAGGAGCTCACAGGCCAGGTAGATGAGGTTGAAGGTGGAGAATACACGAGACCAGATCATTCAGGACCTGGTAAGTCATAGTGAAGAATCTGGGCCGGGCACAGTGGTTCATGCCTGCAATCCCAGCACTTTGGGAGGCCGAGGTGGGTGGATCACTTGAGGTCAGGAGTTCAAGACCAGCCTGGCCAACATGGTGAAACCCCTGTCTCTACTAAAAATACAAAAATTAGCGGGGGCGTGGTGGCGTGCACCTATAACCCCAGCTACTTGGGAGGGTGAGGCAGGAGAATCGTTTGAACCTGGGAGGCAGAGGTTGTAGTGAGCTGAGGTCTCACCACTGCACTCTAGCCTGGGCGATAGAGTGAGACTCCATCTCAAAAAAAAAAAAAAAAAAAAAAAAGAATCTGGATTTTACCAAAATTAGAATGAGTAGCTACTACTGAAAATGTCTTAAGCAAGGGAGCAACAAGCTCTGTCATATAAAAACCTCACTCTGGGAACTGTGGGGCAATTAGATTGGAAGTGGGTGGGAATAAAAGCAGAGAGCCTAGCTAGGAGGCTGATGCCTGGCTCCTGGTTAGAGCTGATGGCTGTTAGAGACCTTGCAGCCTGGCTGGAAACCGTGCCTCCTGGCTGGGAGTGCCAGAGGAGAACACTGGGAAGCCCTGAGCAGGCATAGAGCAGTTGTTTTGTAGCTGGGGTGGCTGCCTGGCCTAGTAAGGTAAATGACTCACCCGTCTGCCATCTTTCACCTACAGCCTGATGTGATTCAGCCAGAGCTGGATTATCCAGAATCTTCTCTGATGGAGGAAGATTCAGGTCAGGAAACCCATGGAGAGGTAGGAGAGACCCTAGAAATTGTCCAGTTTTTCCTACCTGAGGTGTATCTTTGTGAAGACGAAGTTGAAGCCTAGAAAAATCATGACCTGCTGAAGATAGTATAGCTCTGGGGGTCAAATCAAGACCTAAACCAGGCCAGGCGCGGTCAGACGTGGTGGCTCACGCCTGTAATCCCAACACTTTGAGAGGCCAAGGCAGGTGAATCACTTGAGGTCAGGAGTTCGAGACCAGCCTGGGCAACATGGCAAAACCCTGTCTCTACTAAAAATACAAAAATTAGCCGGGTGTGATGGCTCATGCCTGTAATCCCAGCTACTCGGGAGGCTGAGGCAGGAGAATCGCTTTAACCTGGGAGTCAGAGGTTGCAGTGAGCTGAGATTGTGCCACTGCACTCCAGCCTGGGCAACAGAGCGAGACCCCATCTCAAAAACAAACAAACAAAAAACGCATAAAAAATTAAAGTTAGTTTTATTCAGAAGTTTTTTTGTTTTTTCTGTGTGTGTGCTTTTTTTTTTTTTTTTGAGAAAAAAAAAAAAAAAAAAAAAGGAGCCCTGAACCAAAGCGGAGGCTATTCTAAGACTTTTGTTTTTGAGACGCCATAATAGCTCACTGCAGCTTTGAACTCCTGGGCTCCTCCTGCCTCGGCCTCCTGAGTTGCTGGGAGTACAGGTGTGTGCCATTGTGCCCAGCTAATTTTTTGCAGAGACGTGGTCTTGCCATTACCCAGAAGGCTCTTAAACTCCCGGCCTCCAGTGATCCTCCCTCCTTGGCCTCCCAAAACACTAGGAAAATAGGCGTGAGGCACTATCCCTGGTCTCAGATGTTTATGAATGATTTCAGCATCACATAGAGAATGACTCTGGGGGTTGAAGATTGCAACTTATATTAAATTGTTCCCAATTATTTGAGGGCAACATTCTGGTAAACAATAAAGCAGGGGCCAGGCACAGTGGCTCACGCCTGTAATCCCAGCACTTTGGGAGGCTGAGGCGGGTGGATCACTTGAGGTCAGGAGTTCGAGACCAGCCTGGCCAACATGGTGAAACCCTGTCTCTACTAAAAATACAAAAATTAGCTGGGCGTGGTGGTGTCTGCCTGTAGTCCCAGCTACTCAGGAGGCTGAGACAGGAGAATCGCTTAAATCTGGGAGGCAGAGGTTGCAGTGAGCCGAGATCGTGCCACTGCACTCCAGCCTGGGTGACAGAGCGAGACACCATCTGAAAACAAACAAACAAACAAACAAAAATGCATAAAGAATTAAAGTTAGTTTTATTAAGAAGTCTTTTTTTTTTTTGAGGCAGGGTCTTACTCTATTACCCAGGCCAAAGTATAATGGCACAATCATGGCTCATTGCAGCCTCCAACTCCTGGGCTCAAAGGATCTCCTTGCCTCAGCCTCTCCAGTAGCTGGGACTATAGTTGCCTGCCACCACACCCAGCTAATTTAAAAATTTTTCTTTTATAGAGATGGAGTCTCACTATGTTGACCAGGCTGGTTTTGAACTCCTGGCTTCAAGTGATCCTCCTGCCTCAGCCTCCCAAAGTGCTGAGATTACAAGAGTGAGTCATTGTGCCCAGTCTTGCTCTGTTACCCAGGCTAGAGTGCGGTGGCGTGATCTCGGCTCACTGCAACCTCCACTTCCCGGGTTCCAGCAGTTCTGCCTCAGCCTCCCGAGTAGCTGGGATTACAGGCACCCACCACCATGCCTGACTAATTTTTTTATTTTGTAGTAGAGATCGGGTTTCACCATGTTGGCCAGGCTGTTCTCGAACTCCTGATCTCAGGTGATCTGCCCACCTTGGCCTCCCAAAGTGCTGGGATTACAGGCATAAGCCACCGTGCCCATCCAGCCTATTTTTTGTTTGTTTTTAAGAGATGGGGGTCTTGCTATGTTGCCAAGGCTGGTCTTGAACTCCTGGCCTCAAGTGATGCTTCTACCTTGGCCTCCCAAAGTGCTAGGATTACAAGCATGAGTCACTGTATCCCACCGTTATTTTTCTTTGCCATTGTATTTTCTAGATTTCTAACTTTTCTGCATCAACCGTGTATTATTTTTATAAGGTGGGGTACATAAATTAAAAGGGGGTTTCCCAGATAGAGAGTGAATACAGAGAGCTAAGAAACGTGAGCCACCAGCTCTGGCTCCAGGCCTGGAACCCCTCTGCTTTGTGGCCCAGGACTCCCTCCTCAGATGCCAATGAGGACTTGTCCCTCGGTGGCACTGCCAAATGAGAGCTGCCTCCCCACCCCCCCGCCCCAGAGCTCCCTGGATGGGACTGCCATGCAGGTGGGAAGAGGTAGGATTAACACCCTCCTCCAATTGGCACCAAGAAGCTGTTTATAACTAGAAAACAGTTCTCCTCCCTCCCAAGCTTAGCCTGAGGCATTTCCTGGAGGCAAAAGCTGGGACAGTCTTTAAAGTCAGAAAGCCTCAAGGGCTTCCCACTTGCTCCCCAGCACAGGTGTTAGGAAAAGTTAAATACTTGGGTACCTTGGAAAGTGAGTTCCAGAAAGTCTCTGATCCCACATAACTCTGAGCAAGCAGGACCACTCTCCTAAGAGTACTGGAGTTAATGTCATTTCCCTAGCTTCTCTCTTGTGCTCAAAAATATCTCTTAAGCTGGGCGCAGTGGCTCATGCCTGTAATCCCAACACTTTGGGAGGCCAAGGCGGGAGGATCGCTTGAGCCTAGGAGTTTGAGACTAGCCTGGGCAACATGAGACCCTGTCTCTACAAAAAGTAAAAAAAAAAAGAATTTCAGCTCAGGTTAGGGCTATGAAGAAAATCAAACTGATAATTTATGGAGAGTGACTCTGGTTTGAAGAGTAACGTTACATGCGCTTTGTTTCTTTTATCTTTTTTTTTTTTTTTTTTTTTTTTTGAGACAGGGTCTCACTCAGTCTCCTAGGCTGGAGTGCAGTGGCACCGTCTCGGCTCACTGCAACTTCTGCCTCCCGGGTTCAAATGATTCTTGTGCCTCAGCCTCCCAAGTAGCTGGGATTACAGGTGTGTGCTACCATGCCCAGATTATTTTTTGTATTTTAATAGAGATGGGGTTTCACCACGTTGCCCAGGCAATCCACCCACCTTAGCCTCCCGAAGTGCTGAGATTACCTGCATGAGCCACCGTGGCCAGCCAAGAGCATTGATTTTAGAATGGACAGTCCTGGGTTAGACTTCAAGCCCCACCACTCACCGGCTGTGCGAACTCAGACAAGTTACTTACCCTCTCTCAGCCAGTTCCTTTATCTGTAAAATAAATAACCCCCATGATACTGCACAATGGCAGCCATAATTCTTGTTGTTTCTGAGGGTGTTGTTATCTAGGAGGGGTGTCAAGGGAAGTAAACTCTGTATAGTAAATCTCCACCCAGCTGACTGCTTAAATAACCCAGCCAGAGGGTACCCTAGAAGCTTCTGGCACCCCAGGGCTGCCTGCCAGGGCTTAAAACATTTTACCTCTGTGTTGTCATGGTGGCCCAAAGAAGGAAGGCCCAGCTCTCAGAACATTCTAGGTTTGTACACCAAGCACACGTTGAGCTTGTCCCAGGTAGACACAAGGATGCTTCCTAACCACAGGCTGGGTTCCCTGGGGAGTGGACTCCACTGGGGGCTAGTGTAGACCAAGGAAAAGAAACAGGACCAGCAGAAGAAGTCAGACTGGCTGGGCGTGGTGGCTCATCCCTGTAATCCCAACACTTTGGGAGGCCGAGGCAGATGGATCATCTGAGGTCAGGAGTTTGAGACCAGCCTGGCCAAATGGTGAAACCCCGTCTCTACTAAAAATACGAAAAATTAGCTGGGCATGGTGGTGGGGGGGGGGGCACCTGTAATCCCAGCTACTTGGGAAACTGAGACAGGAGAATTGCTTGAACCTGGGAGGCAGAGGCTGCAGTGAGCTGACATCACACCACTGCCCTCTTGCCTGGGCGACAGAGTGAGACTCCATTTCAAAAAAAAAAAAGAAGTCAGACCAAGATGTAGATGTGTTCTTTGTGTTTTTGTTTTTGTTGTTGTTTTTGAGACGGAGTCTTGCTCTGTCACCCAGGCTGGAGTGCAATGGCATGATCTTGGCTCACTGTAACCTCTGCCTCCTGGATTCAGGTGATTTTCCCACCTTAGTCTCCCGAGTAGCTGGGACTACAGGCTCCCACCACCACGTCTGGCTAGTTTTGGTATTTTTAGTAGAGACAGGGTTTCACTATGTTGGCCAGGCTGGTCTCAAACTCCTGATCTTGTGATCCACCCGCCTCGGCCTCCCAAAGTGCTGGGATTACAGGTGTGAGCCACTGCATCTGGCCATAGATGCAGTTTCAACAAAGGCTTCCGCTGACCCTGGTTAGTTCTGAAGCATGGCCGTTCAGAGCTGTCCTGATCTGGGTGACCAGGGCCATTTATAGCCTCTTTTTCTTTTTGAGTTTTTTTTTTTTTCTTTTGGTAGAGACGGGGTTTCACCATGTTACCCAGGCTGGTCTTGAATTCCTGGACTCAAGTGATCTGCCTGCCTTGTTCTCCCAAAGTGCTGGGATTACAGGCGTGAGCCACCGCACCCAGACTGTAGTCTCTTTTGATCACTCGCTGGAGGCTGCTGCCTAGGAAGTGGGCAGACAGGGCAGGGCAGTTCTCTTCAGCCTGGCCAATCCCTGAAGAGGCCAACAGCACGTCCAGCATCTGAGGTGGTAAATCTTTCGTACTGAAGGGACTATGGGTACCCACCACACTCCCCTCCCTACCTCTGCATCTTTCTCCGGCCCATTTTATACCTGCATCTGCTTCTTGAAGCTCTGTAACAACAGATTGGCAAAATAAAAATCACTAGATGTCCTTTTACTTATTAAATTCACAAAGTTTTTTTTTTTTAATCATTATAATATCCGGCATGAGCCAAGATATGGGAAATGATCGTTTCAAACACTGCTGGCGGGAAGACCCATTCAACAACATCAGTCAAAAAACTTGACCCAGCAATTCTATTTCTAAGAATTTATCCTGAGAAGATAATCATGATTGTGGGCAAATATTTAGCCAGGAGACTCTTCATTGTAGCTTAACGGCAAATAATTAGAAAGAACCTCAATGTACAAAAACAGGGAATTGCCCGACTAAAGCATGGTATAATAGAAGACAAGTAAGCCATTCGACATGATGCAGATGAGAAACAGAAAGATGTTCACAATATCTCATTACCTGAATAAATGGTGATAATAGCATGTGTAGTACGATCCCATATTTGTAGAAAACCATTATGTGTATTCTTTTTTTCTAAAAAAAAAATGCTGTAAGGATAAGAACTAAAATCTTAACAGTGATTATTTCCGCATGGCAGGATTATCAGTAGTTTTCCTTTGCTTATTTGTGTGAACCACACCGAGCATGTTACTGCTTTTGTACTAAGGGGGGAAGCAATGTAAGTTATTAAAAAGAAATAGATTCCATCCCCATGACTCAGTCAGCCCTTCCAAACACAAGGAACAAGGACCGTCCTACAAATGAGTTTGAAGTCCTCTGGGGAAAGGACAGAAATCAATGAATTTACAATGCCTGAGCAATGTGCAAAGTTGGAGAGAATACAAATTCCTTGCACAAGACGGAGGTTGTGGCAGCTGCTTGAGTGACAGCAAAGGACGAACACTCTGTACTGTGTGGGGCAGGCAACCAGCACACACAGAAGATCACACACACAAAAATAGTGCCTTCTCTGGGCACTCACTCGGGGGCAGGCCTGGGCCAGGTGCCGCACATGCACCCTGTGTCACTGGATTGTCATTCCAAGTGGAAAATGAGGCTCAGAGAGGTTAAGTGTCTTGCCCAGGGTAACGCAGCTAGTGAGAGTAGAGCAGAGATCCAAATGCAGGACCATTGGCTATGCTCATATTTATTACTATGTGCCATGTAAAAAAAAAATCATTTTTCTCTTTTCTTTGGGGCCTTGGCCTGATATGCTTGAATTTATATATAGACCGAATGCCAAGGGCAGACTCCAGCAGGCATCAAGGACAGAGCAATGATGGAGTGTAGCGAAAGTGTTGGCTGGCAGCTGCTTGGTGCTGACTGCCTTCTTGCTGCTCCTGGCCTATCCCCATTTTGAAACTTCTGCCTAGACTGGGCACAGTGGCTCACACCTGTAATCCCAGCACTTTGGGAGGCTGAGGCAGGCAGATCGCTTGAGCTCAGGAGTTTGAGACCAGCCTGGGAAACATGGGGGAACCCCATCTCTACAAAAAATACAAAAATTAGCTGGGTGTGGTGGTGCACACCTGCAGTCCCAGCTACTCAGGAAGCTGAGGTGGGAGGATCACTCGAGCTTGGGAGGTGGAGGTTGCAGTGAACCAAGGTCACAACACTGCCCTCCAGCCTGGGTGGCAGAGTGACACCCTGTCTCAAAAAGCAAAACAAAACAAAACACTTTTATCCAGAACCTTCCCTGATTGCGCTGGAACCCTTCTTCTCCATTGCACTTTTTTTTTTTTTTTTTTTTTTTTGAGATGGAGTTTCACTCTTGTTGCCCAGGCTGGAGTGCAACGGCGCGATCTTAGCTCACTGCAAACTCTGCCTCCTGGGTTCAAGCAATTCTCCTGCCTCAGCCTCCCAAGTACCTGGGATTACAGGCATGCACCACCACACCCAGCTAATTTTGTATTTTTGGTAGCGATGGGGTTTCACCATGTTGGTCAGGCTGGTCTCGAACTCCTGACCTCAGGTGATCCACCCACCTCGGCCTCCCAAAGTGCTGGGATTACAGGCGTAAGCCACCGCACCCAGCCTCCATTGCACTCTTGTAAGGCCAGACTGATGCCCCTGCTTAAACACCTTCAATGGCTCCCCACTGCCCACAACAAGATCAAGTTCATATTCCCTAGCCTGACATGTAAGACCCAGGCTACCTCAAATCTCACTTCACAAACCTACCAAATAGGGTCCTTGCTGGGCTTTCCTTTGCTCCATCACCTTATGCCTGGGCATGGATTAGGGAGACAGGACATGCCTGAGTTTGAATCCTAGCCCTGCTGCTCTTTGGCTGGGGGTCCTTGGGCAGGTTGTTTCCCCTCTCTGACCCTCAGTTTCCTCATCTGAAAAATGGAATAATGATGCTGACATGTCACAGGGTGGTTGGGAAAATATATGAGAGTGCTTGTGATGTGCTTAGCACAGGTCTAGGAGGGGTCATTTGTTATGTTGCTACAGAGGGTAAATGAATGGGTCTCCCCACACAGTCTTCAGGGACCTGTGCCTAATTAGCATATTTGATCCACAAAAATGCAGGCTGAGCGCTTTGGGGCTGACTGTACAGCTGAATCAGCCAAGTGCCTCCCCCTCATTGTCCCAGCTGCTTTAAAATCGTGTTCTCGGCATCCCTTCCCTCCCTCTGAGGCCTGATCGCTTTCCTGTGTTCTCCTTTTTGTCCCTTGGCAATCTCATTTTCCATGCCTCCAACACTATTTTAAGCCCCAGTAACCGTGTATCTTCCTCGGGCATCCCTTATCTCTCCCCAGCACCTTTCACTGAGAACAGAGTCCTCTCAGTTCCCTCCATCCTTGCTGTCTCAGCAGGCTTCTGTCTCCCTCCAGTGCAGGCCCCAAACAGGGAGGGCCACCTCTTGCCCTGGGGCTGCAACTCCATGCGATGCCTGATCTCCTTAGCTCACCAAGCTTTCCTAATGGAAACATCTCCTTCCATTGGGCCCTCTGCAGGGAATCCTTTCCCTCCACTGGCAGTCAGGAGAGGCTACAGCAGAGCAGAGATTGGGGAAATATGTCCTGCCCAGCTTCCTACTCTCTTCCCTTTCCCCTGCCCAGCTTTCTACTCTCTTCCCTTTCCCCTGCCCCTCTGCCAATAGAATGACTTGAATTACAGGCTATATCAGCAAAAGCAAGGTATTTAGAACAAAGGAGGTGATAGGCCCTCTTTTTCGTGCTGAGCTAACCACATGTGGAGTATTGTAGCTTCCAGTTCAAGTGCCTAGCTATAGGGGAGGAAAGCCTATAGGGGCTGAGAGAATGGACTTTGGAAGCTGCAAATCTGGGTTTGAATTCTGACTCAGCCACTTTGCAGCCAAAAGCAAGTGACTGAACTTCCTTTTTATTTTTATTTTTATTTTTGAGACAGAGTCTCATTCTGTTGCCCAGGCTGGAGTGCAGTGGTGCGATCTCGGCTCACTGTAACCTCCACCTCCCGGGTTCAAGCAATTCTCTTGCTTCAACCTCCCTAGTAGCTGGGACTATAGGCACATGCCACCATGCCCGGCTAATTTTTTACTTTTAGTAGAGACAGGGTTTCACTATGTTGGCCAGGCTTGTCTCGAACTCCTGACCTCAGGTGATCCACCCGCCTTGGCCTCCCAAAATGCTGGGATTACAGGCGTGAGCCACTGTGCCCGGCCTGAACTTCCAAACAAGACTTTTAATCAACCATTTTCCTGGCTTTGTTTCAAGGATTCACTGAGGGTAATTTCCAGTCCTACAAAGCTGTGTGGGGCACCTCCTCTGGGCTCCCAGGACACCGACTGCACACTTACCAGGCCTGTCTTCTGTGTCCAGCTTGTGTATCCAGGCCATCCAGAGCCCATGGGAGATGGCCCAGGAGGAATTAGGGCAGCTCTGCCAAGAGAGTGGGGTGTGGGGTGCACAGAAAGCCAGCTGGAGCATTGGCTGGAAGTACCTGCCACTCCTCTCCCAGCCCGGTCCCTGTGGGCAAGTCCCTGTGAGCTCACTAGCTTGTCTCACGGCAGACCGGGACTGTACACACCTTATCCCAGCCACCCTGCCAACATCTCCAGTTTATTGATAGGACAACTGTGGCTTCGGAAGGTGAGGCCACCTTGCTCAAAGTCAGAGAGCCAGGGAGTGGCTGAGCCCAGCTCAGTTCTGACCCCAGAGCCTAGCCCCTGCTCTGAATGGCAAAAGCAAAATAGGCCACCAGCCATTTAGGGGACCCTGGTCCCCCAGGGAAAAGGTCTGACCTGGCCATCACGTCTTACTCTGAATTAACACCCTGGGGAGCGTTAAATGCCTTTTTGTGTAGGCCTCTCTCAAGCAGGGGAGTGTGGTTTTCCAGGTGTGACAGGCCACCTCCTGTTTGACAGGTCATCAAGCTGGTCCTCATCTGTCACTGTCACTGTCCTGTGGCAAGGCCTCTGACCCTGAAGGCTGGGCTGTGGACATTGGCTCTGTCATGGGGCACCTGGGGAGCCCATCAGAGTGAAGGGGCCAGTAGCTTCACTTTCTTCTAAACAAACTCCCATCCAAAGGGCTCAAATATGGAGTTTCCAACCTTCCCTAGAGACAAGGGCCTGGGGAGAGGCTGTTTCACGACAGAAGTCACCCATGGAGGCAAAAGCCTTGGAGTTCAAGCCACCCCCGATTCTGTCCCACCAGGGAGAACTACCAGCCAAAACCCAGAGTGACGGGCCGCTCTATAACTGTTCATGGCCCTAGGACCCCAGAATTCCATGCTTCGAACTGTGCCCCCCGGAAATAGCAGGTGATGTGTGCAAAGGGGTTTCTGGCAGGGTGGTTAAAAGAAGGGAGATGGCTGGGCGCAATGGCTCACACCTGTAATCCCAGCACTTTGGGAGGTCAAGGCGGGAGGATCACTTGAGCCCAGGAGTTCAAAACCAGCCTGGGCAACATGGTGAAACCCTGTCTGTATTATTAAAAATAATAATAAAATAAAATAAGAAAGACAAATTCCTAACTTTATAGGAATCATTGGTGCTTTTCTCACTGGGGGCCCCTTTTCCACCTGGCTCTTCTGCGTAAAATCATTTTAAGGAGGAGAAAACCATAATTACAATCTCCTTAGGATGGCAGAGCACTTAAGGGACATGTCAGAGTGCTGAGAGTGGACTCCTGTTGCTAGAAAAGGCAGCGTCACCGTCATCATTTCATATTCAGAAAACTAGAATTAAGTACCTGTCATTTTTGTAATTCAGACCACAGTAAGTAAAGCTGGAGGAAACCTCCATGGCTGGAAGAGAGCCACAGAAGCTCAGCAAAGTCTTTTTTTTGAGACAGAGTCTTGCTCTGTTGCCCACGCTGGAGTGCAGTGGCATGATCTTGGCTCACTGCAACCTCCACCTCCCGGGTTCAAGTGATTCTTGTGCCTCGGCCTCCCAAGTAGCTGGAGACTACAGATGTGTGCCACCATGCCCAGCTAATTTTTGTATTTTTAGTAGAGACGGGATTTCACCATGTTGGCCAGGCTGGTCTCCAACTCCTGACCTCAGGTGATCCGCCCACCTCGGCCTCCCAAAGTATTGGAATTACAGGTGTGAGCCACCACACCCGGCCCCAGCAGAGTCTTAAGCAGGACAAAGCTCCCCACCCCCAGGGGAGGGGGGATGTCTGGAATTCCAAAGCCTAAGATTGGGGCTGGTTGGGGGTTGAAACAGGTTGAGAAAATCTGGACTAAATGCCCTTTAAGATGTACTGAATTCCGCCAGTCTGTATGAAATCCTCTTGCTGATTATCGATCGTTGGAAGGGAATTTTCAGTGTGATGTGAAGTGAGAATTTCATGCTCGTTTTGAGGATCCTCACCCCCACCCCATACACACATAGGGTAACCTCTAGAAAGAACGATTTTTTTTTTTGAGACAGGGTCTTGCTCTGTTGCCCAGGTTGGAGTGCAGTGGCATGCTCAGGGCTCACTGCAGCCTCCACCCCACCAGGCTCAAGTGATCCTCCCACCTCAGGCTCCCGAGTAGCTAGGGCTACAGGTGCATGCCACCACACCTGGCTAATTTTTCTATTTTTTGTAGAGACGAGGTTTCGCCATGTTGCCCTAGCTGTTCTTGAACCCCCAGGCTCAAGCAATCCACCCACCTCCGTCTTTCAAAGTGCTAGGATTACAGGCATGAGCCACTGCACCCAGCCCTCAGAATGAATTTTTAACCCTAGTTCTGACTACTGAATTGCAACAGCCTCTGGCCACAGTCAAAGCCCCTGCCTTGCTGCCCCACGCTCAAGAGATTTAGAGAAGGCCAGATGCCAAGCTGCTCTGGGGAGCCTCTGCTCCACCCTTCCTCTCCCTGGGGACTGGCCTTCCCCCAGGTGGGTCCCCTGGAGCCTGGGTGCCTCCCCAGCTCTTTCTAGGCATCCCATAAACATGCTCTGGGTGCCAACACCCCTCCCCACCTCTAAGTCCCCTCTTCCTCGTCAATGCCAATTTCCTTCCAAGAAGGATCCTCCTGTTCCATTCTTCCTGCTGGCTGCCTCCCCGCCACTTCCTGGCAGAGCCCCAGTGAACCCCATTGCCTCTGCCTAGTTAATCTCTCTCTCTCTCTGCTTCTGGGAATTCTCTTTGCTCTCAGCCTCTTTCTGTTGATTTTGCTTGTTTATTTCTCTTCCCACTCATTTCTTCATTCATGTATTAGGATTTAGCACAATTATTAATCATTTTTACAAAATGTCTTATATAATATCCACATGCCTCTTGTACAGTGAATTCCAAGAAGGCAGAGTCTGGGTTCTTCTCACACATGCCTGACACATAGTCGATTTTTGGCGAATATGTGAGTGGATGCCCTTGTCCTCCTCTTCCTTTTCCCTTCCAGCCGGGCTGACCGCCCAGTCCCTGATTTCTGAGAACAAGCTGCAAACACTGAGAGCTGCGCTTTGAACCACTGACTAGGCAGTGGGCTGGCCTGCCTTCTGGCCTTAACTCCTTCCCTCCTGCCTTTTTTTTTTTGTCTTTTTTTTTAGAGACAGGGCCTTGCTCTGTCATCCAAGCCTAAGTGCAGGGGCTTGATCATAGCTCACTGCAGCCTCGAACTCCTGGGCTTAGCCTCAACCTCATGAATAGTCAGGACTGGGACTACAGCTGAGCACCACTATGCCTGGCTAATTTTTATTTTTTTAATTAATTTTAATTATTATTATTATTTTTTGAGACGGAGTCTCACTCTGTCACCCAGGCTGGAGTGCAATGGCGCAGTCTCTGCTCACTGCAACCTCTGCCTCCTGGGTTCAAGTGATTCCCCTGCCTCAGCCTCCCGAGTGGCTGGGATTACAGGTGTGTGCCACCACCCCCGGCTAATTTTTGTATTTTTAGTAGAGACGGGGTTTCGTTATGTTGGCCAGGCTGGTCTCAAACTCCTGACTTCAGGTGATCCACTTGCCCCGGCCTCCCAAAGTGCTGAGATTATAGGCGTGAGCCACCATGCCCGGCCTCTATTATTTTCATTTATGCACATTCCCTTCCAGACTTGCTTTGTTTGTATGAAAAAAAGAATTAACATTTTCACCATCATGGTGCATCAATCATGTATTCTACTTTTAAAAATTCTTGAATATTTAGTTTCCCATGTCACTACCAAGTCTACCAAGTCTCTGTTGATATCATTTTAAACGGCTACACAACACCCCCTTGCATTTTTCTTTTGTTTGCTTTTTTTCTTCTTTACAGAGGTGGTCGAGTTACCCCCCTGCATTTCTTGGGTGTTGACTTTTTTTGTTTTGTTTCCCTCCCAGTATGATTTTACCCAAGCTCCTGGTGTGGCAGGGCCATGCAAGTTCTCACCAATCCTTTCTTCTTCCAGACTGCACCTGGCTCTTTAAGCCTAACCCATCCTCCCACCCCTGTGGGGGCTCGGGTCCCTTTTAGTAAACAAGGACCGGCTCTGCCCCACCACCTCACAGAGGCACAGAAGCACTGTTCAAACACACATGCCCATGACATTGCCACCCACAGATTAGGAACAAAGACGCTGGAGTCTTAAGTCCTCTTGGAGACGCAAGGTCTTCAAAGCTTGCTGGCAAATGTGATAGTCGTGTTCTTTGCCAGGGCCTAGAGAAGGCACTTAGAAAATACCTGTGTAGAAGCAGCAGTGGGGATGGTGGGATGCAGTGACCCAGCAGGCATTTCTAGCCCCACTTCGCTTCTAACACTTCTGCAGCTGCAAATTTTTTTTTTCCTTTTAAGAGACAAGGTCTCTGGCTGGGTGCGGTGGCTCACGCTTATAATCCCAGCACTTTGGGAGGCTGAGGTGGGTGGATCACGAGGTCAGGAGTTTGAGACTAGCCTGGCCAACATGGTGAAACCCTGTCTCTACTAAAAATACGAAAATTAGCCGGGCACGGTGGTGCACACCTGTAGTCCCAGCTACTCGGGAGGCTGAGGCAGGAGCATCACTGGAACCCGGGAGGCGGAGGTTGCAGTGAGCCGAGATCGTGCCAGTGCACTCCAGCCTGGGTGACAGAGCAAGACTCCGTCTCAAAAAAAAAAAGAGACAAGGTCTCACTCGTTGCCCAGGCTGGAGTGCAGTGGCATGATTATAGCTCACTGCAGCCTCCAACTCCTGGGTGCACCCTCCAACTCCCGGGCTCAAGTGATCCTCCAGCCTCAGCCTCCTGCGTAGCTGGGACTACAGGTGTGCACCACCATACCCACCTTATTTATTATTTTCTGGAGGGATCGGGTCTTGCTATGTTGCACAGGCTGGAGCAGCTGCCAATGTTAATTAAACCTTGGGATCTCCTCAGAGGATTTAACTGGCACCAGGTGGAAAGATTTCATCTGGTCCAACAGGATCACTGTACAGATGGGAAAACTGAGGCCCTGAGAGATGAGGCAGTAGGCGTAGGAACACCATTCTGGATGGCCCCTGAGCTGTTTTCAAAGCACCTCTGAAAGAGTGCTTTCAAGATCTGAAATGAGAAAGTAGTAGATCCTCAAGGGAGATGAAGTTTGACCTGGCACTACATTCTGAAAAATTTGAAAAACTGACTCCTTCTCAAATACTTTAAACCAGGATTTTCACATGAGGCCTGAACACCAGTCCAGGTGGGTGGGAGGTATAGATGACTAAGAGAATGTGAGAGGGGCCGTGTGAACAGGAACAGGTAAGACCAGTAAATCCTGGGAACTCCCAACTCACCTTGCCTTGCTCCAGGGACAAGCACTGGACCTGAGGAGTTTAGGGAGGTCCCTGGCAAATGCCTCCAGGAGGAAACAGAGTCTTCCTGCTGCCTGTCAGGACGGCTGACCCTGGGCCTGATCTCAGCTAATTCAGCAGCTCAGGGGGAGGACACCACCCCCGTATCTGCTCTGCATCTCAAATACACCAAGAGGGCTGGCCAGGCAGAGGGATTGCTATTGATTTTCACTTGTGCGGGCTGACCTAACAAAACCAATCCATCAAGTGCCTGTCTGCCTCTGCTTCAGACTCTCATCCTAAGCACGTGCAAATAAATTGCACCAGCATCCAGGGTGATTTGTCAAGGTCCAGCCAGGCATGGGCCCTGGCTTCCACTGATAGGATGGGGCTCCAGGCTAGGCTGGGCTAGGGTCAGCCCAGTCAATGCCCCGCTGTTGACTCGCCATTGAGTGACAACACGCAGTGTGGCCTGGCATCTGCTGCCACGCTAGGAACTGGTTGGCCATGCCTGGGAAGGGGCTTTGAGGAAACAGGCCCAAGTCCCACTCACTTTGACAGGGCTTGGCAGCGACATTCTCACTTGTTTCTTAAGGTTTCTGTCCGAACTCTAGATTTGGGGGGATTTATTACAATGTAGATACAACCATGAGGTGCTGAGTTTGGGTACTGCCTCTGCCACTGGCTGAATGTCCTTGGGCCAGTTGTGAGATGGAGATGACACCACCTACAGGGGTCTAGAACCCTGTAAAGGCCAGGGTCCAATCCCTGTTCTGCCACTTCCTAGCTGTGGCCGGGGCAGGTGCCTTCAGCCCTCGGTGCCTCATTTTCCTTATCTGTACTACCGGGCTGAAAATGGTACCTACCTCTTACAGTGGAGCTGTCATAACTGAATGAGAAAATGCAAAGGACCACAGGGGCTCACCCCACCCAGCCCTTCATTCCACTAGCAAGGACTGGAGGCTCAGAGAAGGGGGTGATGTTCTGGGGTCACACAGCAAGGCAGAGCAGCATCAGAGGGGTTACAGGAGCCACAAGCAGGAGAGGATGACGGAGAGAGTACAGTGACCATCCTGCCTTCCTGTCCTCCAGCTGGCAGCTGTCCCTGAAGAATGAGACACAGGGAATGTGGGTCATGGACATACACAGATCGTTTGAAAGGGTCAAAAATTTTATTAGCAGGACTTTTTGTGTTTTTGAATATACAGGTTTCCTGCTGTCCAGGGTAAAGGGGAAGTGGTGTCTTGTGGCCCGAGGTTTGGGGCGCTTGCCTTGGGACTCCATCCCCATCTCTTTCCCGCTAGCGCAGCTGGGGGAAGGTGCCTGCTTGCCGGCCCCACGGATTCTTCGGCTGTGGCATAAGGCACTGTGTGTTCTGCAGGAAGGCGCTCATGGCTGGCTGGTAGATGAGAGGCGGCCTTCTCAGGGGCTGCAAAGCTGAGGCTGTTGAGGGGTTGAGTTGAACTTGGGGCCCCTAGTGAGGAGGCCCCAGGCGATGGGAGCACGGCCTGGTGAGTCTGGTGCCGCTGCCTCCCCACTGGCCCTGCACCAGGTCTCAGGATGGGATCATGCCTTTGCTCCTCTTGCGGTCGGCCATGGTTCTCCGGTTGTGGTTGGCTCTTGTCGCCTTGTTGGCTTCCTTCTTCCTGCGTTCCTGGGTTGTCTCGCGGCTCTGCCCATGGCCTCGGGGGCTGCCGGCCACTGCTGTTGAGCTGTCATGCCGGTACCTGAGGGAGGAACAACCCACCCCACGAGAACCTGTCAGCCGGAAGAGGCTCTGGCGGGAGAGCCCACAGCCTGCCTTGGTGTTCACTGGGAGAGGACACAGACTGGGCCTGGTCACTCATGTCCCAACTTCAGATGGAAGGAGAGATGGAGCCCAGCAGGGGCAGGGCCCTGGGGCTCTGACCAGCCCCGAGCCTGGTGTTTTCTCTTCTCTGGGCCTTGCTTCCAGGTCCGCCCATTGCTACGTGTAGCGGAGGAACAGCTAGAGAGCTGACACAGCCTACAGGAGACGGGGAGGGCTTCAGGTGGGTCTCCTCCTTTCTCCCTCTGGGGCCACATGCTGTAGCTGAGACATTACTCCTGTTCTCTACCCTAGGGCTTTGCCTGGCAGCCTCCAAAGACCAAGTGCACTCACAGATGTGACCTAGGGCCCTTTCAGACCATCTTGACCACTGGGATTTGCCAGAGCTCCGCACTCAGGGGGCTGGGATGGATGAGAAGTCAGGGTTGCTCTGCTCCCTGCTCAACAACCTTCTGTGGCTCCCCACTGCCTTCAGAATGAAATCCAAATGCCTTCCCTGTGGCCAGGCCTCCTGAACCCAGCAGACAGTGCTGCATGAAGCCTAGGGCCGGGATGCGGGAGTGGGCTTCTACTCCTGGCTTGGCCTTAGGTGGAGGCAGATCCTTGGCCCCTCTCAATGTTTCCTCACTGGGAAGATGCGGGGCCTGGATGAGGAGTCTCTGGGTACTGATCTCAGCTCCCCTCGAAGATCCCTCTCCTGACCACGCCTGCTTTCTTACTTTTCTGCCCTCATATGACAAACTCCTCTGAGCCCTTTTCACCCTTAGGGGCCCAACTCAAGTGCCCGTCACTTCCATACCTCTATCAGCCAGAAAGGATGTGTCTGTGTCTGTCTGAGCTCTCTCACATTTACACTCTGCCTGATATCAGCTAGCCCTGGACACGCTGGGTGATAAATCCCCTCCTGTGTTCACCAAGTAATGGTTATGAGTGGGGACCCTGGAGCTGAGCCATCTGGGCTCCATCTTTGCTACATCACCTACTAGCTGTGTGACTTCTGGCTGGTTACTTAACGTCTCTGGGCCTGAGTTTTTTCATCTGTCAAATAAGGATAGTGATAATGGTAGCTACTTCACTGGGTTGTCGTGAGAACTAAATACACGTGGAGCACTTAGGGTGTACGTGTGGGTTTCCTGGGTGGCTGGCTAGGCCCTCCCCAGATGGTGGGAGGGGTCCCCCCAGAAGCAGCCCCTTGAATGCTCACCCTTTCTTGGCGAGAAAGGCCATGCGCCTGGCTTCTGCCTTCTCTCTCAGCACTGCAGGGTCCTGAACAAAATGGTCGGGCTGTGGAAAGGAGAGGAGACCAAATCTGGAGTCAGGAGCTGCCACATTTTCCTAAGCGGCGATGAGGCCCTGCTCAAGTGAAGCTTGTCGATGCCTCCATGCCAGGTGTGGGGGGAAGCTGCAGCCTGGCAGAGCGACGCCCAGGAATGGAGTGGGATTACTGTGGTCTGAGGTTTCCATTAGGAGCCCCCTGCCCCACCTCTTCCCTGAGCGGGTGGCAGCTGAAGGGACTGAGGCTTCCTGGACAGGCTGGTAGAGTGGATAGACCATAGTTATGGCATAACAATGACAAATGGGAGTGGTGGGGAAGCCAGGATGGCCACTGTGAGAGGCTGTGCAGGGCCCTGAAGACTGCGGGAGCCACCGTGGGAGCTAAGTGGTCCCGGGAGCTGCAGGCCTAGGCCTCACTGTGGCACCACTAGCAGCATGTGTGGGAGTGCCCACTCTCAAGGACAGCCTTCTCTGCCAATAGTGCAAGGAAAAACTGGGACCTAGGGACCACAGACAGGCTTTGGTGGCCAGTAGCTTTAAAAAGGAAAAAAAAAGGCCAGACACTGTAGTTTACATCTGTAATCCCAGCACTTTGGGAGGTCAAGGTGGGAGGATCACTTGAGTCCAGGAGTTTGAGACCAGCCTGGACAACACTGTGAGATCCCATCTCTACAAAAACACATAAAAACTAGCCAGGCGTGGTGGTGTGAGCCCATAATCCCAGCTACTAGGGAAGCTGAGGTGGGAGGATTGCTTGGGCCCAGGAGTTTGAGGCTGTAGTAAGCCATGACTGCACCACTGCACCCCAGCCTAGGCGACAAAGCGAGACTCTGTCTCTAAAAAGAAGAAGAAGAAGAAGGCTGGGTGTGGTGGCTCATGCCTGTAATCCCAGCACTTTGGGAGGCCGAGGCAGGTGGATCACCTGAGGTCAGGAGTTGGAGACCAGCCTGGCCAACATGGTGAAACCCCGTCTTTACTGAAAATACAAAAAATTAGCCAGGCATGGTGGCGAGCTCCTGTAATCCCAGCTACTTGGGAGGCTGAGGCAGGAGAATCACTTGAATCCGGGAGGTGGAGGTTGCAGTGAGCCAAGATTGCACCATTGCACTCCAGCCTGGATGACGAGAGTGGGACGCCATCTCCAAAACAACAACAACAACAACAAAACACACACACACACACAAAACTGGTAGGTTTTACATAAAAATCTGGGCTGACCCCTTGCCTGAGAAGCAGATAAATCTGTGGAAACTCTGAGTCTGTGCTTGCACCGAGGAGCCCCTGAGGCAGGGCACGTGCTTCCCACTGCTCAGCGCAGTCCCCACCAGGCCCCGCTACTCATTGCCGTTGGTGACCTGGCCCCAGAAACATCTGAATTTGTCACCCTGGTGTGGGGCATGATCCCAGGTTGCTGCCCTGTCACCTGAGCAGTACCGCGTTTATCTGTTCTGTACGTTGAGGTTCTAGTTAAGATTTCATTCAAATAAAAAGTTTAGCTGCTAAAAAGTAGAATTTTCTAACTTACCGATCCAGATGACCTCCCAGGGCCCTTGGGCTCTAACTCCTCTCTGATTTTAAGAATTGCCATCCTGGGTATGGTGCTGCTAACTGCCCTTCTCCTGACTCCTAGGCTCCTGGGCCTAATAATGAAGCTGGTGGCTCAGAGGCCCTGCCTTTAATCTGTCCCCTAGGTCCTCACTAGTGGGCAGCAGAAGTTAGTTCTAAGCCAGTAGCTCTCCAAGCAGACATCCTGGGCTCAAAGGGACTCCTCCTGTCCCTGCCAGTGATGCTGGGGCTGCCTCAGGGCCAGACATAGGGAGGGGTGAGGGGCCCTTCTGATTCACCCCTCAGAACTGCACTCTCCCCTTCATCTGCTACCTGCCAGGGAGGTACCTTGGGAGCCTCCTCGTCAGCATCGTCTTCCTCATCGTCGTCATCCTCCTCCTGCCCTTCTCTAGGCACTTTGGTTCTCAGCACCTGAGGGATGGTGAATGGCCTGAGGGTGTGGAGAGAAATGAGATCAAAGACGAGGTTCAACCAGGAGCAAGAGCCACAAGGAGGAGGGAACCTGGTTGGGTGAGATGGGGCCGCCAGGAGGGCTCAGGAGGTTGGGAAAAACCAAAAGCCTTTCAAGCCAGATTTGCTCCAGCCCCTGGATTCTCTGAGGTTACCAGAATTTGAGGTGGGGTTGAGGGGGAGACTGAAATGGGGCCGGGAGAGTCTCCAGTCCTCTCTTCAGTCGGGACAGCTCTGCTTGGATCTGTATTGGGGAATCGCTGTAACATTCCACCTGAAAACATTTTCTTCAATTAAGAAGAAAAATGGACTGAGCGCGGTGGCTCACGCCTGTAATACCCACACTTTGGGAGGTTGAGGTGGAAGGATCACTTGAGCCCAGGAGGTGAGACTAGTCTGGGCAACATAGTGAGAACCCCACCTCCACAAAAAATAAAAAAGTTAGCGGGGTGTGGTGGTGCACACCACACCTGTAGTCCCAGCTACTCAGGAGGCTGAGGTGGGATGATCACTTGTAGTCCAGGAGGTCAAGGCTGCAGTCAGCCATGATTCCATCACCGCACTCCAGCCTGGGCGACAGAGTGAAACTCTGTCTCAAAAAAGAAAAACGCAAAGCTACTGCATGACACCGAATAAATGCTGCCCCATTCAGGGTGGGCTGGGGTGGAGGAGCACTGGATTAGGAGTCAGGAGGACTGGGTTTGGGCCCTGGATCTGCCACATCTGTGTAAACAAGTGGGTGAGGGAGCCCCATGGGCCTGAGAGCTGCTCTGCCCTGGAACGCCACCCCCACTATGGCCTCACCTGCGGCTGATGAGCTCGTCATCAGAGTCTGCATCATTGGCGCCCACCTGGTTGCCATCGTATGTGTCATCGTACTCATCCTCGTAGTAGACACTGTGGTAGGGCAGGCTCTCGCCTGGCTGCAGTGGCACCTGCAATGGCATAAGCATGGGTCTGGGGGGCTCAGGGGCTGGCCTGGTTTCCCTGGCCCAGCAGAGACCTGGCCTTGGTGGCCTACCTCCTCCACCACCACGCTGTACTGCTCGTAGCGCTGCCGCTGTGCCGCCACTGCACGCTTGTCGTTCAGCAAACTCCGCGTGTTTTCCTCCTTCCTGGTGCTGAGAAGGAACAGCAGAAAGAGAGGAAGGAAAACCATCAGGCTTGGAAGGCCGCAGGGTACGGAGGGTCCAGAGACCACAGGCTTAACTGCTCCAGCCCTCAGACTGTCACGGAGACAAATGAAATCAAGCATTGGTGAGGGCGTGGGAGGGTGGGACTGTCACTGCTGCTGGTGCCCATAAGGATGGCTCCAGCCACTTTAGAGGGCATCCCAAGAGCCACTGTTTTTTTTTTTTTTTGAGAGGAAGTCTTGCTCTGTCACCCAGGCTGCAGTGCAGTGGCACGATCTCGGCTCACTGCAACCTCCATCTCCCAGGTTCAAGCGATTCTTCTGTCTCAGCCTCCCGTGTAGCTGGGACTACAGGCCTGGTTAATTTTTGTATTTTTATTAGAGATGGAGTTTCACCATGTTGGCCAGGTTGGCCTCAAACTCCTGACCGCAAGTGATCCCCCCACCTCAGCCTCCCAAAGTGCTGGGATTACAGGTGTGAGCCGCTGCGCCCGGCCAAGAGCCACTGTTAAAAGGTAAAATGGGGCTGGGCGCAGTGGCTCACTCCTGTAATCCCAACACTTTGGGAGGCCGAGGCGGGTGGATCACAAGGTCAGGAGTTCAAGACCAGCCTGACCAAGATGGTGAAACCCCGTCTCTACTAAAAATACAAAAATTAGCCGGGCATAGTGGCGGGTGCCTGTAATCCCAGTTACACGGGAGGCTGAGCCAGGAGAATCGCTTGAAGCTGGGAAGTGGAGGTTGCAGTGAGCCGAGATCACGCCACTGCACTCCAGCCTGGGCGACAGTGCAAGACTCCATCTCAAAATAAATAAATAAATAAAAAAGGTAAAATGTGCGTACCTTTCAACCAGGATATTCCCTGTCAAGGCATCTGCCCTAAAGAAACACCAGCTCTGTGTACAGAGGTCTGATTAGGGATTTTCTTTTCAGCATTGTTTGCAACAGTGAAAAATGGAAAGCAACTAATGTCCATCATGAGTGAAAGAGCCAAATGAACTGTGCCACATCTGTATTAGATCGTTGTGTGGTAGTTGTCAAGAAAGACATTGATCTATTTGTGCTGATGCGGAAAGAATTCTCACTTATTCCCAAGGAAAACAAGCAAGCTACAGAAAAATGCGTACAGTATGATCCCAAAAGCAAACTACGCTAACTCTGTTTCTATGGCCACACGCCTATGCATGACAATGCAGACAGAAGGCTAGGAAGCCCCACGCCAAATGACAGTGGTTACTGCTTGGAAGCACCTGGAGTTGTCTAAATCTTTTTTTTTTTTTTTTGTTACAGGCTAGAGTGCAGTGATATGATCTTGCAACCTCCGCCTCCTGGGCTCAAGCGATTCTCGTGCCTCAGGCTCCTGAGTAGCTGGGAGTACAGGTGCGTGCCACTATGCCTGGCTAATTTTTGTATTTTGTTATAGAGATGGGGTATCTGCCATGTTGGTCAGGCTGGTCTGGAACTCCTGGTCTCAAGTGATCTGCTTGCCTCAACCTCCCAAAGTGCTAGGATTACAGGAATGAGCCACCGTGCCCAGCCTAATTTTTAAATTTTTTGTAGAGACAGGGTCTCACTATATTGCCCAGGCTGGTCTTGATCTCTTGGGCTCAAGTGATCCTCTGCTTCAGCCTTCCAAAATGCTGGGATTACAGGTGTGAGCTACTGTGCCCAGCCTGGATCTCTTAAACAAAATTTTTTTTCATTTTAAAATTGTTATTCGTTTATTGTTTTTTCAAAAATGACCTTTCCTTGCCAACAAACAAAAATTTAAGAAGCAGTAAGGCCACATGTGGCTTTCTGACTGAGCTCAAGGGAGCCATAGGGATATCTGGGGTATAAGAAAAGGGGGTTCCCAGTCCTCTTCCTATCACCCCCACCTCACTACAGCAGCCTTCTGTCTCTTCCACAGCTCAAGTTTCCATGTAAAATTTCACTGGAAGAAAATGTTTGGAAGCCCAACTCTGGTCACGTTACAGGTGAGGAAACTCGGGTGCATTGGGTGGGAGAAGGAACATGTTTGGGTCACAAGTGAGCTGCAGCACAGCTTCGGCAGGGACTGAGGCTTCTCAACTCACGGCTTTGCAAACCTGTGAAAAAACCTGGCTTGTCAGAAACATACCCAGGCCTGTGGAATGTAGCTTCTAGCCCTGCAGGGGAAAATCAATATGAGATGCCAGGCAAGAAAATCCAGCTTAGCTGTGAAATCGGGTCTCTGGAATGTATCAAGGGTAAGATAATAAAAAAAAAAAGAAAAGACACAAAGCCAAACAGAGCTTCCATAAAAATCTTCTATTAACTGGCTTTTGGTGCAGGGAGAGGCAGGCGTCTGAGTCCATCTCAGTCTGTCAGGCTATCTGCCTGGCAGCCAGGGCAGGTCAGGACTGCAGCCTTCAGCATGGCGGGCTAGGGTTTGCCTCCCTTCACATCTTTTTTTTTTTTGAGACGGACTCTTGCTCTGTTGCCCAGGCTGGAGTGCAGTGGCGTGATCTCAGCTCACTGCAACCTCCACCAGCCGGGTTCAAGCGATTCTCCTGCCTTAGCCTCCCCAGTAGCTGGGACTACACGTGTGTGCCACCAAGCCCAGCTAATTTTTTGTATTTTTTTTTAGTAGTCTTTATTAAGGACCTTCTCTGTGCCGGGCAGGGTATGAGGCTGAGTTGGGGAGAGATTCAGAAATGAAGAAGATAGAGATCTGCCCTCATGAACTCAGTGTAGTGGAGATGACAGACCAGTCAACACGAAATGTGCTGAACGGAAGCCCTGGAAACAAAGGGAATGAACTTGGTTCAGGAGGTCTGGCTGGGCATCTGTAGGAAGGGGTAATGGAGGCTCCACGGTAGGGGGTTACTTGATTGGACCAGGAGCCCCAAGGTATGGCAGGAGGGATGGTGCACTTGATTTAGACCAGGGAGAAATCTCAGTTCAAAGAAATCTTTCACATCCACCAGGGAAGGGGCCTGTGACTGTGACCTTGGCCCTGTACCTGGCTTTCTATGCTAAGCTGAAAAAGAGGTAGAGAGGAAGAAAAAGGAGCCCAAGCTTGTTCAGGTGGTAGGTGCCACTGGTAGGAGCACACCCATGCATTTGACACATATTTCCTAAGGGCCTAATAGGTTCCAGGACCTGTGCTGGGCCAGGAGACTGAGGAAGAATGAGAGGCATCACCATCCTTTCTGCTACACCTTCGGCTTCTGGTCCATCCCATCCCTGGTTCTGTGCAGTGGGGCAGTTCTTTCATGCTGTGTGGCCTCTGGTTATGTGGCTCCCTGGCAGGGCCAGGCAGAGAAGCATGGCAAGCTCCACCCACCCTAGCTATGCCCTGGAAGAAGACACAGGTAGGGACAGTGAAGCCCGGGCACCTGGGCAGCTTGTCCAGGGAGATGCAACCTTGGCCCCAGACCTCATTTGGAGCCAGAAAGGAAAAAGAAAAATCAGGACCAAAGCCAGCTGGGAAAAGATGCATCAGAGGCCAGAACTTCAGTCAAGCCTGGAAACACAGGCAATGGTGGCTGCAGAGACCCTCTGGAGCAGGTAGCTTCCTCAGCCTCCAAGATGGGAGCAAGCCCTGGGAATATGCAGGTGCCCCTGAAACCTCGCCACCTTTCCCTTCCTCATCTCCTCAAGCCTGTCCTTCAAGGCCCAATTCAAACTGGTCCTTAGCAGGGTGACTCCTGCCTTTGAACTTCTAAAGAGCCTGTGGAAGCAACAGACTCCTACTTTTCCAGGTGAAGAATCAGGGGATCCAGAGAGGCAGAGCAACCCTCTTAAGGTCACACAGCTACTAAGAGCAAAGCCAGGGCCAGACACAGGTCTCCTGATTCAGGTCTGCTTTGCCACTTCCTGGGCTGTGTGACCACAGGCAAGTCCCTTAACCTCGCTAAGTCTCAGTTCCTTCTCTTGGCACCCACTTCCCAGGGCTGATGTGAGAAAGAAATGACATGTCGAAGCAGATCCAGCACTTTCTGGGCTCAACAAAGTGAATCCTGTTTCTTTTACTACAGGACTTTTCAGAGCCTTAATGTGCTCTGCGACTCCCCAAAAGGCAGACCAAGGGCACAGACACTTAAAATAAAATTTTAATTATTATTATTTTTTGAGACAGGGTTTCACTCTTGTTGCCCAGGATGGCGTGCAATGGTGTGATCCTGGCTCACTGCAACCTCCACCTCCCAGGTTCAAATGATTCTCCTGCCTCAGCCTCCCGAGTAACTGAGATTACAGATGCCTGCCACCATGCCCAGCTAGTTTTTTGTATTTTTAGTAGAGATGGGGTTTCACCATGTTGGCCAGGTTGGTTTTGAACTCCTGACCTCAGGTGATCCACCCACCTTGGCCTCCCAAAGTGCAGGGATTACAGCCACCACGCCCAGCCGGCACAGATATTTTTAGAACACATGTTGTCTTCCAGGGCACCATGGAATGGTCCAAAGGGATTAGGGGACCCTGCCTCTTGCCCACTGACTCCTTCACTGGCTATGATATACCTGTAGCACATGTATTGATGTCTCCACAACAGCCATGCTGCACCTCACCCATTCTCCAAACAGACCCTACATTTTCTTTAGGTCTTTCTACCTTTCCGTTTCACCCTGGAGCTCCAGGCCTGCACCCTGTGAGTTGGTTTTCCTGATGAGATATGAGGGGTATTGGAGACTTCTGGGAAAGGTATCCTAGGCTCTAGGAGAGACACAGGAAGACCTGGTCTGGACTATCTCCTGGCACTGTCATGTCTGGAAGCCATAGTAGAAACAGCTGCAGCCCCTCTGCAGCCTCAAAGGAAGTAGCCTGACCACGAAGTGAGGCCCCAAGAGACTGGAAAGATACATTCTGGATGATAGGTCAACCAAGCCTAGACGGCCCTACCTTACACCGCCTTGTCATGCAAGGGAACAGATTTCCTTACTACTTAAGCACTGAGTACAGCCTATCTGATTCAACAACGAACACATTTTAACTCCACTACCATCTGCAGCGTCCTACCTAATTTCTCATGGGATTAGGACATGTGTCCCTGCCGAAGTTCCTGTGTACCCCACCCCAGCACCTCCCACTCTGTCCTTACTTGTTTAATGGTCTTTCTTATGATCATTTGAGGGCAAGGCCGGGTATCCAGCTCACCCTGTTTCCCTGGTGTCTAGCATAGGATCTGGTGCTACTAAATCTCTTAATAAATATTTGCTGAATGAATAAATAATGAACACATGAATGGAGGCTTTGCCTCTTTGCAATCTGCAGCCCCTGGGCTACCCAGCACAGTGAGTCTCTCTGCGTGCCAGCCCAGAGGGCCCCAGGAACAAGGGCACAGTGTTCCAGAAACCTGGCCACCTCAATGCCAGCCACTCTGCTGACCCTGACAGCTGGGACCAGCCCCTTGGCAAATGCTCGTAGGTGACTTATGACCTAGGTGGGGTGAGATGAGACTTTACAATACCATGGGCCCTGGACAAAACCACAGATCAAGGTGAAAGGCCATATCCAGAGATGGCTAATCTCTGTGGGGAACTTACCAATCAGGCTTCCTGGATTGGAGCAGGGGGCCAGGCTTCTCGCCAGCCTGGAGGACCCCTTGTCTGCCCCTTGCCCACCGCTGGAGCTACAGAGGGCCATGCTGGCCTGGAATAGCGGCCACTGATCCAGGATAACATCTTTGGCCTGGGATCTGGGGGTGTTGCAATGTGTATGACTAAGCAGTTTGCAAGTGCTTCCTGTCCAGCCAGCCAGACGGCTTTGTAGTTGCCCTGCGCCAGTTCCCCAAGCCCTCAGCCAGCCAAGCTTTTAGCAGTGGACAGCCCTAGGGAGGGGTAACAGCACAGGGCCCTAACTGAAGAAGCAGCTGGCATTTCCGCCACTGGGGCTCCTACCACAGGAACAAGGCTGGCTGGTCTCCTCCCTCTCTGAACCTCACGGTCCCCATTCACGTGATGGTGAAAGAGCAGCCTGTACTTGTAAAGAAGTCCCCTGATTTCTAGATTCCATGCAGAACTTTGGGGGACTAGAATACATCTTATTTTGCTGTTCTCTACTTGGATGTTGTACTCTTTACCATGACATCCAACTCTCTGTCCCTCTGATGGGTCATCATTCCAACGCTGGGTGAACTCTCTTATTTTTTTTTCTTGAGACAGGTTCTTACTGTGTCACCCAGGCTGGAGTACAGTGGCACGATCACAGCTCATTGCAGCCTTGACCTCCTGGGCTTAAGTGATCTTACTGCCTCAGCCTCCAGAGTAGCTGGAACTATAGGCGTGTGCCAGCACACCCGGCTAATTTTTGTATTTTTTGTATATATGGGGTTTCGCTATGTTGCCCAGGCTGGTCTCGAACTCCTGGACTCAAGTGATCCACCTGCCTTGGCCTCCCAAAGTGCTGGGACTAGGCATGAGCCGCTGCACCCAGCCCTGATCTTTTCAAAACATAAAATATGCTGGCTTTGTCGGTTCATGGGACCCTTTGCTGTGCTCACTATGGCCTCGGGACCACTGTCCCTGTTGCTCTGCTTGGGAAGCTTCTCCTTCCCTCCTTTGCAGAAGTGACCCCTCCTCACCCTTTAGCTCTCGGTCCCATGTCATGTTCTCAGAGGAGCCTTCTTGACTGGGGTGAAGCCCTACCAAAGGCTCAGAATTCTGTGCACCTCCAGCTTGTAGTATTTGTTATACCTGCAATTTGATGTTGCTTGTTTGATGAGTTGATTAATGCAAACTCCACGTGGGCAGGGGCCGTGTCTGTTTCACTCCCCACTATATCCCCAGAACCTAATTAATCCAGAGCCTAGAATGCTGTAAGTATTAGACAAATATTTGTTGAATAAATGGATAAATCATGAACGGAATTTTCAATGCCAAAAAAGTAGGAAGGACATAAACTAAAAATAAATAGAAAGGCCTTAAAGTGGAATATGTTCACCTTCTGAAAAGCTCATTCAAAGTCCTTAATTTTCTCACAGCCTGGGGAAAATCAGGTCAAAGAGTGGTTTCTGGGAAGCACTGTCCACCAGTGATTTGATGGTTAACACATTAAAAGATGTAAGAAGAAGGGAAGAGGGGGATAGTTTTGGCCCTTCTGGCCTTTTGCTATCAACAGGGGGGATTCACTAACAGCCTCCCTGCACAGAGTCAGAACCTGAAGCCTGATCAGTAGAGAACCTGCTCCTAACCACTGGGGGTGCACAGGTCTAGGGTTGTGAAGGGATCCCTGTGCTGATACTCCATGGCCAATTCTGCGAAGATGGAGCCCTTGGTTTCCCTGTGTCCTCTCTGCACTTCCAGAGTTGGGGTATCGGAACCCCATGGCCCACTGCACTCACCTCTTGCCCTTGTGCACCCGGCTCAGGTCTACTGAGTCCCTGCTGAACACATCAAACTCGTCATTCTGGAAGACGTTGTGGCGAGACGTCAGCAGGGGTGTAGGGTCTGGTTTCATTTCTCTGGGTGGGGGACACAGAGATCAATTTAAGGGGGCCCTGCCAGCTGATGCAATCTGCACCCCACTTCCCCCTGCTGTATTAAATCCATCGGATTTTTCAGTTCCCTTCAACAGGCACTCCTAGGACACAATCTCAAAACCTTGAAGAGGGAGATAAGCTGCTGCCTGATCTGGCCTCTGCCTGGGTATGCAGCCACACCTCAAACAAAGCTCCCCCTCATTCTCTGCATGCCATTCACACAGGGTTTCCTTCTGTTTCTTAAAAGCGCTATCCCACATTTAATGCTCGTAATAGTCGCATAAGATCAGTAGTCACAGATCACTCAACCTCATTGTGCCTCAGAGGCTGAGGAACTTGTCCAAAGGCACAAAGCTAATTTCTCAAGTTAACAAGTGATTGGTAAACATCACTTGCTCATGGAAGAAACACCCTTTCGGGCACTGGTTCCTGCTGTCCCATGGGGCCTTCAGGGCAGCAGTGGGCCAAATAAATGGTAGGTGTGATGAAAGTGAGACGCTGTGGCCATCCTCTCTCACAAATCTACTGGGAAGGTCGTAATGACAGGGGCAGGTCAGGAATGTAGGGGATCAGAAGGGCTCAACAACCCTGTGTTACATCCCTGAAGACACATCCATGGCGCTCTAATCAGCCTTCCCACAAAGTGTGGCAGGGATGTGTACACTCTCTGCCCTGCCTGGGGCAAGTGAAAAACTCCTGCGGGGCCTAAGGTTTTTATGTTTCCCCAAAGAGGGCTTTAGTTTAAATGGCTGGGAAGAGAGAACAAGCTGAGTCCTGGGCCATGAATGAGGGAAGGAAGAGAGGAAGGGGCCCCACCCCGAGGCAGCCTGGGCAGCGGGAGCCTCCTCCCACCTGTCTCTCCCACCTGTCTAGGTTGCGGTCCAGCTGGCTGAGGGTGGGGGCCAGCCGCTCCTCCAGGATATTGTTGATCACCTGCTCTGGGTCGTAGTGGTAGTACTCCAGGCAGGCCAGGATGAAGCCCTCACCAAGGTCTGGCAGCAGGTCCTTCACTTGGGAGATGAGAGAGTCCAGTTCCACCCCACACATGGCAGGGCCCACAGCCGCGGCTGCTCCCATGCACTGTAGTGAGAGCCAGAGCCAAGAAGGGGAAGGCTAAGTGGGCCGGTGATAGGGCCACAGGCCCCAGACAGCACTGGACTAGGCATCAGGGATCTGGTTCAAGTCCTGGGATTACCCCTCCTGCCTGTGGGAACTTTGTCAAGTGACTCAAGTCTCTCTGAGCCTCCATTTCCTTCTCTGTGAAAAAGGGGGCTCGTGATTGTTATGATTATTGCATGCCTGTATCAAAATATCTCATGTAACCTATAAATATATACACCTACTACATATCCAGGAAAATAAACAAAAAAAAAAAATAAAAAAAATTTAAGGCCGGGTACAGTGGCTCATACCTATAATCCCAGCACTTTGGGAGGCTGAGGCAAGAGAATTACTTGAGCTCAGGAGTTAGACCAGCCTGAGCAACACAGCAAGACCCCATCTGTTCAAAAAATTTAAAAAAGTAGCCAGGTGGCCGGGTGTGGTGGCTCATGCCTGTAATCCTAGCACTTTGGGAGGCCGAGACGGGTGGACTGCCTGAGCTCAGGAGTTTGAGACCAGCCTGGGCAACACAGTGAAACCCTGTCTCTACTAAAAAAATTAGCCAGGCGTGGTGGCATGCGCCTGTGGTCCCAGCTACTTAGGAGGCTGAGGTGGGAGGATTACTTGATCCCAGAAGGTCGAGGCTGCAGTGAGCTTGATCAAGCCACTGCACTCCAGCCTGGGTGACAGAGCAAGACCCTGTCTCAAAAAATAAAAAATAAAATAAAATAAATTAGGCCAGGCATGGTGCTCATGCCTATAATCCCAGCACTTTGGGAGGCTGAGGCAGGTGGATCATCTGAGGTCAGGAGTTTGAGACCAGCCTGACCAACATGGTGAAACCCCATCTCTGCTAAAAAAAATACAAAAAATTAGCTGGGTGTGGTGGTGGGTGTCTGCAATCCCAGTTACTCAGGAGGCTGACACAGGAGAATCGCTTGATCCCAGGAGGCAGAGGTTGCAGTAAGCAGAGATCGCACTATTGCACTCCAGCCTGGGCAATAAGAGTAAAACTCCATCTCCAAAAAAAAAACAAAAAACAAACAAACAAAAACAAATAAATAATTATATTAAATTAAATTAAATTAAAATTTTGAAGGGACTGTATGACTTACCAGCTGGGCTACTGGCTGTGTGACTTTGGGCAGGATGCTTCCCCTCTCTGAACCTCAGTTTCCTCCTTATAAAATGGGCCTATACCACCCACCTCATGGGGTTGTTTCAAATAGTTCAAAGATGGCACAAAACCCAGTGAGCACAGTACTTGGCACAGACCAGGCCCTCCATAAACAGCCCTGGTTTCTACCAATTCTTCCTACTAATCCAAGGTCCTTTTCCAACAAGTTTACTGACGGTGGAGGCGAACATCAACCACCAGAGCTGGACTGTGTGGAGATGCTCCCCTTTAATTACAATCTCTTTTTTAAGTAAGGGGCATGCATTTTATATATTGCTCAATGTGACTTAATTGTGTTAGCCTTTTAATTTAAGGAAATTTACAGATCACAACAATAAAACCTCCATGACTCTGCTAAGAAGCGAAATGGGGAAGAAGGTGGGAAAAGGTGAAGGAGGCCATTGTTCTCCAAGGCCCTGCAGGAATCACAGGGTCTGGGCTGGGAGGAAGGACTGTGGCATTTGTTAATGGAGCACTGAAGGCCAGTCAGGCTCAGGGTATTCCATGTGATAGCTCTGGGAATCCCAACACCTCATGGAGGTGGGCACTACATCTGTCCCCACCTTATAGATGAGGAACCAAGGTTCAACGTGAGTGACGTGCCTAAGGCCATACAGCTGCCAAGTGGCAGAACCAGGTCACACCCCTGAGCTGCCTCGCCTGAGTCTGTGTGGTCTTCATCTCTCTTATCATGCTGCCTCCCAACATGCAGGGGAGAGTCCTGGCCTTGGTGGCCAATCAAGACAGCCACAGATTCGGCCAGTCCTGGAAAAGCCTGGAGAGAAGGCACCAGATCCGAGGTTTCTACACTTGTTCAGTGGAATCCTGGAGCCCCACGGAGGGGCTTCCAAGAAGGCCAAACCATGGGACTTGGCACTGTTCCCAGTTGCAACCAAAGGAGCTCCACTTTTATCTATTTAGAGGAGAGCTCCGGGAAGGGCTCATGGAAACGTTCATGGAAAGTTTCGTCTCTTCATTTTATAGAGGGGAAGCTAAGGCTTCGATAGTTGAAGCAACTTGCTCTCTCCTCACACACAGTCCAGCATGCCCCCAGCTTGGGACCCTCTAAAGGCAGCACAGAGCTGACCAGTTGCTTGAGGCTGTCTATTCCCCAAAAAAACTTTTTCCCTGAGTATAAAAGCAAAGAAGGGAGGTTTCCTGCTGCCCCAGCCTCTCAGATAGGGCCAAGGAGGGACAAGCGAAGAGGGAAAAGCGCCACTCAGACACATACCTCCTCTTCCTCCGAGTTCTCCGGATGTGATGATGCTTGACTGACTGCCTCTGCTGTCACCGTGACCCCGTTAGGCTCCCCATTAGGCTCCTCAATCACCGATGGGTCTTTAGCATCTGTGGCTTTCCGTCTGTCCACCCCTTCCCATGCACTCTCGACTGCCTGGAGGATGTAGGCAGTCCGCGTCTCGTCCCTGTGAGGACTTGTTAAGGGGTCTGTCTTAAGCTCCTAGCTCTGAAGCAGCATAATTTCTCAGTCCCTCCCCAGCATCTGACCACATGGTTCCTGCCAGGGGCTTTCTGGGCTATATCTAAGTGGTATAGCCCACGGGCACCTGGGCTGCATGGAAAAATGGGCCAGACTACAGCCACTCTGGCCTCACAACCTAGTGCCTTTCACTCAGCAGAAAGCAGCTCTGAGTAAAGACAGGGCCAGGGCTGCCATCAGAGTGTCCTGGGGCACAGGTATGGACGAGCCAGCAGCTCCTCTTTTGTACTGACTGCCAGGAGGAGGGCGTGGTAGGGCCACTGCCACTGGGCTTCCTGTCCAACCAGCTGAGGGCATTCTGCAAAGGCTGTGGGCCATCAGGTTTCCCTGAAGCAGGACTGAGCAATCTACTGCAACCACCAAAAATGACCCATAAGCTGGCTGCTCCTCCCTGTCCTTCCTCCTTGTTAACAACCCTGGGCACTGTCAAGCCAGAAATCTGAGAGTCCCCTTAGACTCCCTCACTGCTTCTTGTCCAAACCCTCATCATCCATGCTTGGATGCCAGCAACAGCCTCCTCACTGGCCCGAGCCTCACGGTGGTCCTGGGCCAGTCCATTCTCTTCCCTGGGCCAGACAGAGCTTTTCCAAAGTATAGAACTGCCCATGTCACTTCCTGCTTCACAACCTTCCGCGCTCCCCAGCGCTTGCAGGACAGAGCCCAAACTTCTTAGTGATGGTCACCCCAGGGCTGTGCACGTTGCTGGCCTTCACCTCACCTGCAACACCCCAATTCCTCCTCTTGGGAGACCCCTCCTTAAGGACTGCCCCCTGTACTCTATACACGTCTGTGGCTCTAAGGAGCCTGTTTTCTCTGTCCTCTGTCCACTGCGAACATTCTTGTCCTTGTCCTTGCTCCTGGCTTGGTGCTCTCCCATTCTTTCTGCTGTTCTTCTGCTTGGACATCATTTCCATCTGAGACCCCCACCCAGAGCTCTGCTGGGTGAGGCGCCACCTCTGGTTTCCTGCCCTCTGAAATCTTCCCACGTGACACTCTATCTAACTGCCTGTTTACTTGTCCACCTCCCCTCCTGCTGTGAGGAGGGGCTGAGTCCATCTTGGTCACATAGGCCCAGATACTCAGGAAACACAGACGGAAAATAGCACTGCATCTCCCCTGCCCCAAGCATCAGAGCAGCCATCTCCTCTAGAAAAGGCAAGGCTGGGACCTTGGCAGGCCACCTCGGACAGCTGGCTGACCCATGCGTTCTGGGGCTAAACCTCTTTCCACTCCTCTGGGTTCCAGCAGCCTGTCTCACCTCTGACCTAGTCAAGCTGGGCCCTGTCGTAGTGGGCTATGGTAGAAGGATACAAGACTGATGAGGCCTGCTGCAGCAAGCTGATGTCTTCGGCCACGGGGAAGAGTGCATCATAGTCCCGGAGGAACCTGCAGGCAGATGAGAGCAGATGGGATGGACAGAGCTGGGGCCACAGGAATGCTGTGCTGCTGCAGGCCACTCCCTGTGTTTGCAGCCCGACCTTATTAGAGCTGTGGTGGGCCTATAGCGGGGGTCTATCATGTAAGGCCTCTTGGGGACCTGTGGGAGGGTCATGGGCCCAGGCCAGCTCAGCCACACTCACCTCTTCTCCTGCAGCAAGGAGCTGAAGATCTGAAGGAACTCTTCGATGAAGCCCTGAATGTTGTCACAGCTAGAACAAGACACCAGGGAAGATGAGCTCATGCAATGCAAGATGAGCTGCAGCTCCTTTACACACCCGCTGCCCCTCTTTAAGGCTGGGGCCCAGTGGAGGAATGAGGCATTTTTCTTGGTTTCTCATCTCTGTTCAGCCAACCCCAGTGCAGTGGAGGAAGCCAAGATGAAATAATGGAAACGCTCCTGAAGGGCTTGGGGAGGAGACTCTTCCACCAGGAGGCAATTCGTGAGGGCTTACCTGCTTTCTAGGATGGGAAGGAGGCAGATCTGGTTCAGGATGATGTGGAAAATCTCCATTAGCTTCTTCCTGGAATGGGAGAGCCTCTGCCACAGGTCACCAAGAAGCCTAGGCCAGAGAGAAAAAAGACACAGGTTTAGGAGACAAAAAGGCCCTGAGGGGCCAGGTGCAGTGGTTTACACCTGAAACCCTAGCATCTTGGGAATCTGAGGTGGGAGGATCACTTGAGCCCCAGGAGTTTGAGACCAGCCTGAGCAACTAAGTGAAATCCTGTCTCTACAAAAAATACAAAAAATTAGTCAAGTGTGGTGATGCAGGCCTGTAGTTCCAGCTCCTGGGGAGGCTAAGGCAGGGGGATCGCATTCGCCTGGGAGGTCAAGGCTGCAGTGAGCCATGATGGTGCCATTCCAGCCTGGGTGACAGAGCAAGACCCTGTCTCAAAAAAAAAAAAAAAAAAAAAAAAAGGGAAAAGAAAAAGAAAAAGAAAAAAAGGCACAAAGGGAGCTTCTCCCCAGCAGTTGCAGGTGCCTCCCTGGAGCAGAGAAGGCCTCACAATTCACTGCTGAGAGCAGCTGGCAAAAGCCATAGGCCCAGAGAAGATAGCTGCTTCCAGGGCTGCTTCTCAGTTCAAACGGTGGGTCAGGAACCAGCAGGCTGAGTACCAAGAGCATGGAGTAACAGCTGAGGGAAGGGCTTCAATGCAGGGCCCAGCCATCATGGTATTTTGGGGGATTGGGTTAATAGACATAATTGCCTTAGTACAAGCAGGACTTTGGGTCAAGTCTCCTTCACGGTGTTTAGTAACACTTAACTCTAGTTGTTGCAGTCTTTCTTATTAGGTCTTCATACAAGTCTACAGAGAACATATATTTTTTTTAATATGCTAAGAGTTTAAAAAAAAATGCAGTTCAAGACCAGCCTGGCCAACACGTCAAAACCCCATCTCTACAAAAAATACAAAAATTAGCCAGGTGTGGTGGCACACGCCTATAATCCCAGCTACTCGGGAGACTGAAGTGGGAGGATTGATTGATGTCAGGAGGTCAAGGCTGCAGTGAGCTGTGACTGCACCACTACACTCCAGCCTGGGTGACAGAGCAAGACCCTGTCTCAAACAACAACAACAACAACAAAAAAAAAAACAAATGCAGAGGTCAGGAAGTGGCTAGATAGGGATGCAGAAGCTCAAAGCTGCACAGTCCCTGGTCCCACCCACTTGTCTTAGAGATAGGGATGCTAATGCCCAGGGAAGGCAGGGCCCTGCTCGGGCCTCTCTGTCCCACAACAACATTCTTAATTTTGTCCCCGCCTCACTTGCTATCTTCAAGCCTCCTCTTCTTAATTGCAGACTCCATTTCGGGAATTGCTGCTTCGTAGAAGGAAGCTAGTCTGTGCAGGCACACACAGGGAAAATGTTGGATTAGTTCATAAATACCACACTTCATAAGAACATCAAAGCAAACCCCAGGGAGTGGGAAGGCCCATTTCTTTTTCCACACAATTTTCTCCAGGGACCCCTTGGTTCTTCCCTGAGCTCACCCCAGACTGACCCACTAGGGCTGGTCCCAGGAACAGCTCATAAGAAGTGACCTATAGCCATGTCCCTCATTCAGATGGGCAACTGAGGCCCAGATAGGCTCATACTAACAGAGGAATCAGAAGGCCACTCGGAACCCACTGAAGTTTGAGAAGCAGATCCAAGATTACTTGCTTGTAATTTTCTTGCTCAAAAACTGTCAGTTAGCCAGGCACAGTGGCTCATGCCTGTAATCCCAGCACTTTGTGGGGCTGAGGCAGGAAGATTGCTTGAGCCAGGAGCTCAAGATCAGCCTGGGAAACAGGCTGGTGAAACTCCATCTCTACAAAAAATACAAAAATTAGCCAGGCATGGTGGTCCACACCTGTAGCCCCAGCTACTTGGGAGGCTGAGGCAGTAGGCCAGGAGGTCAAGGCTATAGTGAGCCATGATCACACCACTACATTCCAGCCTGAGTGACAGTGAGACCCTATCTCAAAAAAAAAAAAAAAAAAAATTGTTCTGGCTGGGTGCGGTGGCTCACGCCTGTAATCCTAGCACTCTGGGAGACCGAGATGGGTGGATTACTTAGAGGTCAGGAGTTTGAGACCAGCCTGGCCAACATGGTGAAGCCCCGTCTCTACTAAAAATACAAAAATTAGCCAGAAGTGGTGGTGCACGCCTGTAATCTCAGCTACTCAGGAGGCTGAGGCAGGAGAATTGCTTGAACCTGGGAGGTGGAGGTTGCAGTGAGCCAAGATCGCCCCCCACTGAACTCCAGCCTGGGCAACAGAGTGAGACTCTGTCTCAAAAAAAAAAAAAAAAAAAATTTAACATGAAAATCTCAACACAATATTTGTATTTGGTCAAAATAGGCTAAATGTTCTCATGATTTTTTCCCAATCCCATTGGAAATGAGAAAAAAATATATTAAAATAAAAAATAATAATTAAAAAATTTAAGAAAAAAGTAAATGTATCATATTTTCTACATTGGCTTATGAGTTAAGCCAGTTAGCACTGTTTCTATAACTTTTTAGTTAACTAATTAATTTTTTTTTTGAGACGAAGTCTAGTTATATTGCCCAGGCTAGTTTTGACCTCCTGGGCTCAAGCGATCTTCCTGCCTCAGCCTCCCAAGACACTGAGATTACAGGTACCTGGCTTAAAACTTTTATAAAATTAAGGCTGTGCATGGTGGCTTATGCCTGTAATCCCAGCACTGTGGGAGGCTGAGGTGGGCAGATCACTTGAGGTCAGGAGTTTGAGACCAGCCTGGCCAACATGGGAAACTCTGTCTCCACTAAAAATACGAAAATTAGCTAGGCATGGGGGCGGGCACCTGTAATCCCAGCTACTCGGGAGGCTGAGGAGGGAGAATCGCTTGAATCTGGGAGGTGGAGGTTGCAGTGAGCTGAAATTGTGCCACTGTACCCTAGCCTGGGTGACAGAGTAAGACTGTCTCAAAAAAAAATTTAAAAATTGTAAAATTAAAAATAATTTATACGAAATTATTTTCAAATAAATATAATTATACTAATTAAAAAAAAACAAAAGAAAAACAGCTGCTAGCAGCTCCCTACCTCTTATGACAGCAAACCATAATTATTCTCTCTGGTACATCCATATCTGTCACGGTATACAGCCAATCTTGCTTCTCACCTAGGTGATTTCATACCACCCTTTCCCAACTCAAATTCAAACTCTCCATCCCAGCCGCACAACCCCTCAACATTCTTCCAGAGATCAGCACTCCCACAGCCCTCTGGCTTCCTCTCAGGCTAATGCTGGCCACTGCTCTTCTCTTCTTTCTCCTCATTCTCCTCCTCCTCCATGCAGCATTCCAGGCCCATCTCCTCCCATGCACTTCCTGATCATGCTCACTCATGGGAATTCTTCCTTTCCAGAACTAGATGCACTGCATGTGGAATATATTGCCCTGTTGCCCTGGCAAGTGAAACTGCAGCTGCCTCTTTTCTGTGGTATAATTCTTCCCCCAAACATCTTAAGCTTCCCAAAGCCGGAACTGCAGCTTAAGTGTCTAGGTTGGTGCTGAATTTGGAGCAAGTCCTCTGTAAACACATGCCTGTCAGTTGGCTGGTTTCTGGCAATGTCTATCCTACTACAATGCTATATGTAACAAAGGGTAACTAGGCCAAAAGAGGCAGGCCCTACTAGGCCCACAGGATAGTCCAGAAAAATGACAGAGAGGGCAGTTTGGCCTAAACAGGTTCAGCTGTTGCCAGGATATGTTGCTGGTGGGAGAGTAAATTGGAACAACCCCTATGGAGGGCGATTTGGCAAGATCTATGGAAATTAAAAATGTACATACCATCTGTCCTTGCTAGTCTACTTCTAGGAATTATTCCTCAGATATACTCACAGAGGTACCAAATAATGTGTGTGCAAAGTTATTCTTTGTAATTTTTTTTTTTTTTTGAGACAGTCTCGCTCTGTTGCCCAGGCTGGAGGGCAGTGGTGCAATCCCTGCTCACTGCAACCTCCGCCTCCCGGTTTCAAGCAATTCTCCCACCTCAGCCTCCCGAATAGCTGGAATTACAGGTGCGTGCCACCACATCCAGCTAATTTTTGTATTTTTAGTAGAGGTGGGGTTTCACCATGTTGGCCAGGCTGGTCTCGAACTCCTGACCCCAAGTGGTCTGCCTGCCTTGGCCTCCCAAAGTGCTGGAATTACAGCCATGAGCCACTGCGCCTGGCCTCTGTAGTATTTTTTTGTATAGCAAACAACTGAAAAAAACCTAAAGGACCATCTATGGGATCTGGTATTCCATACAGTGGAATTCTACCCGGCCATACCAAAGACATTAGAGAAAGGGTGCTTAATGCACTGATGTGGCACCACTGTTAAGTAAAAAAGTAAAATGCAAACAGTAAATACTCATAATATGCCAGCCTTAAATTTTTTAAAAGGAGGGAGACATATAATGTGCACAGTTGCTCATATGTGCATATATTCTTGCATATCTCTGGAAAATTCCACCAAAAAAACCTAATGATGGCTGTATGTGAATAATAGAACTGGGAAAGTAGAAAGGGGGACTTTCCAGTGTGTATTTTATACTTTTTGAGTTTTGAACCATGTGAATGTGTTATTTATTCATAAAAGTATATCTACTCAGCTATACTTGAATAGATGGGAAAGGAAGGAGGAAAAAGGTTATTTTGAGAGGGATTATCAACAAAGCTGATTGGGCAACTGTAACCACTTTCAGAGAGGCCTGGAGAACTGAGGTGGCTGTATTTGCTCAGCAGGGCGTTCCTGGCCTCCAGCACAGTTGGAGGCTGGGTCAGCCCCAGGGTGTTCGTGGGTCAAAGGCAGTGTTGCCTTTAGTCAAAAGTGTTTCCCTTTCTTCCTCCTCACCCTGAGATGGGTATAGCTTCTCCCCTGCCTCTGCTGTCCCTTGCAGTAAAGTCAGCTCTTCCAAAACTTATCCCTTCCCCATCTCCAAAGAGCCTTTCAAAAGCAATCTGTGCCACATTTGGGGAAACACTTTAACAAAATGGGAAAATGCCTATGATAAGCGAAAATATGCAAGGTACGAAATTCTAAGAATAGTATGATTTCTTATGGTGATTTTAATTTCCTACTTTTCTGGATTTTCCAAATGTTCTACAAGCACATGCTGCTTTTATCATGAGAAAAGATACCTTTTTAAAAAAGTGGACAGCTACATACCCCTCTCTTCTGGGGAAAATGCCAGGCAGCAGGTTATCCTAACATTCTCTGGGAGGCTCAATAACCCTAATGTCTGATTTTTATAAGCTGAGGCGACCAGGGAGGGGTCACAGCACCAGCTGCCATCTCTGGCACATGTAAGGACTAAATAAATGTTTTGTTAAATGGGTGAGTAAATGACAGAATGGACAGGCAGCTGAATGGATGGAGTTGGGCAGCTCCCAGAAGCTGCTACAAATGGTGGGGAGAAACGTCTTGCTAGAGTGACAATCAGAGGCCACTAGGAAGAGGCCTGTGCCCACAACTGCCAGGCAATACGCAGGTTGCCAACCCTTTCACCCTGGCCTGGAATGCCCACACCCACCCCTTTCTTACTGCACAAGCAACAGATACTCTTGGTGCTAAGAGGGCAAAGTGGGTCTGCCTCCCTGGCTCATATTCTCTTTCATATCTGTCTCCCTCCCACCAGGATCTTTCTAACAGCTCCTTTGGATAAAAGCCTCCAGGGGCTCCCCACTGCCTACAGCATAAAGGCCCTGCCAGCACATCCCAGGCTCCCCACGATCTGACTTCTACTGACTTACCCAAAGTGGGCTCTTGTTACTGGCTTGTTTTCCTGCTGTTCTGTGTGTCCCCACCCTCTGCCTCATGTCACACTTCACTCCCCAGCTCTCTCTCTGGGCCTCTGCATGCTTCACTTCACCTGCCTAGGATGCCCTTCCTGCTATGGGAACTTTTCTTTGTCTGGAAGATACCTGTTCCTTCAAGACATCCTTCAAGGGTGATCTCACAGCTCCATGTTGGAGCACTCCTGTTGTTTCCTAGTGTGTGTTCCCCCCAGGCTACTCTATTGAACTGAAACTATTCTTGGTTGTGCGTTTTTTTTTTTTTTAGATGGAGTCTTGCTCTGTCACCCAGGGTGGAGTGCAGTGGCGCGATCTCAGCTCACTGCAACCTCCGCCACCTGGGTTCAAGTGATTCTCCTGTTTCAGCCTCCTCAGTAGCTGGGAATACAGGTGCATGCTGCCATGCCCAGTAATTTTTGTATTTTTAGTAGAGATGGGGTGTCACCATATTGGTCAGGCTGGTCTTGAACTCCTGACCTCAGGTGATCCACCCGCCTCGGCCTCCCAAAGTGCTAGGATGACAGGCATGAGCCAACGCGCCCAGCCCATTGTATGTGTGTGTGTATTTTTTTTCCCTGCCCTATCCTGGTCTTGGCCAAAAACAGGAGTGCTTCTAAAATGCAGGCGCCACACAAGCAGGAGGCTTATCTGTCGTTTTCACTGCTGCATCCCCAGGCTGGAAGAGGGACTGGTACATTCTAAGCACCCAGTAAATATTTGTTAAATGAGTAAATATTTGTTAAATTAGTACATAAGCCAGTATCTCTATTTCAACAGCCAGAACTACCGCCTTACCTGTAACAAAAGTCGTGCTTCTGGAAGGTCTGGCAAGCCAAAGGGAAGATATCCAGAAAGGCCCAAAGTGTGGTGCAGGTATCACAAAGGTAGAGAACAATGTCCTTTAATTCCTGTTGCCAAAAGAATACACTGCATTATTCTCCTCTGTCCACACATACAGATCTGCAGAGCACCTGAGACAACATTAAAACAGTCAGGGTCCCAAACAGGCAGGATGTTACACAGGAGGAAAAGAACACTGGAGGTCCCAGGCAAAGTCTGGCTAGTCCATCTTCAGGAGCACGATCTGGGTGAGTCACCTAACCTCTCTAAGCCTCAGGTCATTACTCCAATGGCCTTACACCCAATCACCGCTAGGGTTACTTCCAGTTCTAAGATAATACAGTTCCCTCTTCTAAGCTAAAGGAAAACCAACTCTTGAATCTGAAGACATCATGCAAAGAAGGAACATCCGAGGCAGGACAAGAATATTAAGTCCATAGGTTTTTCACATCTTGAAGAGGGTATACAAAACACTTTCTTCTAAGTTTCTTACACACTTTCCTGGTTCTCATGACAACTCTGAAAAGTAGGCTGGGAAGCTATTGAGGATCTTTATTTTACAGAAAAGGAAACCGAGGTTCCGAGAGGTAAAATGATTTGCTCCCACAGCACCTGCCACGTGCCCTTCTGAAATGAGATCACCATCTCCAGGAGGACAGCTCATAGCTGCCTTGTTCCTGTTCTATCTCCAGGGCTAGGGCAGCACCTGACACATGTTGAGGCTTCCTGAATGTTTGCCTTCTATCTGTCACCCTTGTCAACTCTAAATTCCATGAGCGCAGGGGCCAGTCTGCTTTTGTTTACTGCTTTGCCTCCAGGCATAGCACAGGGTCTGGCACATGCTCAGGACTCCTCAATATAAGTCCACTGAATAAATGGCTCAATGAATAACGCACAAGTGAACATGTCAAACTGAAATAAATGAGGACTCTGAATCCTTATTCCCCAGTTCTTTCCACTACTCTATAAATGAAGCTCCCAGAGAGAAATCCAAGCCAGCTGAAAATGCTCTAAACCTGTGTGATGGGACATAATAGTTGCTCACTGTGCTGGAGGAAGGGGCCCTGGGCAGGGAAGAGGCCACTGGGTCCTCTACTGGGGCAATCTTCCCAGCCTCTGGGTAGCTAGGCCCTGGTTGGAGGGACCCGGCAGGAAAGAGACTGGGCCGAAGGGCAACCTTACCAGGAGAGGCATGTCACTGGGGGTCAATCGGCCCCTCTCCTCAAGCTTCTGGGGTGTGGTATTGGCCCCGTCCCCTTGCAAACCACAGTGCTGGAGGATATTGCTGAAGACCTGTGAAAGACAAGAACGGGCTCTCTCACATCATACTGAACCAGGGCTAGGACCCCTGGCAGCAGCCAGGGTCAGGTGATCTGAAAACTGCCTTGGAGTTTCTAGAATATTTACCCATGTTTCCAGGATATAAGCTGAGACAATTACCTTCTCCAAGAGTGAGGTCAGAGTAAAAACTATGTAAGATGGGGATGATGGGAGCATCCTTCTTAAAGGAGGGCGAAGAGGATTAAAAAGACAACCTGGGGCCAGGTGTGGTGGCTCACTCCTGTATCCCCAAACTTTGGGAGGCCAAGGATAGGGGATCATTTGAGGCCGGAAGTTCAAGACCAGCCTGGGCAACATGGTGAGACCCCCATCTCCACAAAATTTTTTTTAAATTAGCTGGGCAAGATGGTGTGTACCTGTAATCCCAGCTACTTGAGAGGCTGAGGTGGGAGGATCAACTGAGCCCAGGAGTTCAAGGCTGCAGTGAGCTATGATTGTGCCACTGCACTCTAGCCTCGGTGACAGAGCAGGACCCTGTCTTAAAAAAAAAAGAAAAAAGAAAATCCTCCCAGAATCCTGTAGATATTATCTGACCGCATAGGCCAGGCAAGTATAATGAACATTTAAGATATACTTTAGCAATGTATAACAAATCTTTAGAACCCCTGTAGATGGCTATTTATGGAAACTACATTGAAAATAAGACAAATCAACAGTGAGAGGAAAACGGTCCATCGTAGGCACTGAACTGACTGTGCCATTTTAAGAAGGCTAGCATGTAAGGATTCCAAAACTTACTGTGAACAGTAGATATCTCTTGGTGGTGGGATTATGAGGGAATGATAATGTTCCTCTTTCATTTTTTATTTTCCGAATTTTCTACAATGAACATTATTTCATGAAATAATTTTGTAAAACTTTAAAGCTACTTTTTGAGAAACACTGGTCTCTTAGAGGGATATCCTTAGAGGCATATGGCTGTTGGCAAGCAACAAAAAATGCAAGCCAAACTCTGTCTGTATGAGCGCCAGCCAGCCAGCCCTTAGGCTTAAGTCTTGTTCAAAAGGGAAAACGGCAAATTTAAAGAGGTGTAGTCAGGGGTAAGACAAAGAGACTGTCTGGGGAGATGCGAGAGTCAGGGAATAAACATTTCCTCAGCTCCTCCAGGAAAGTCAGGCAACACCATTGAGTTGGGGAGGTGGCCTATCCTCCAAGCTCAACCTCCCCTGCGCAGGGCCAAGAGCTGGTACCTGAAGGATGGTAGGCAGGGTTTCATCCAGGTCACTGTAGTAACTTGGCTGCTGTGTAAAGATGTTTCCTAAAAAGAGAAGAGAAAGGTTGGAATTGAGAAAAGGTGGGGGCTCGGGGCAGTGAAGAGGACACATTACAAATGGTTGCCAGCAGGTCTGTGACCTTTCTCCCTTTTCCTAATCCTATCTGCAGCTAGGACCTAGGACGAGTCCTGGCCCCAGGCCCTGCTGGCACTGAGCTTTGGCCCAGCCTAGAAGCTTCCCCAGGGTGGGGGAGGGACCTTGCTCAGTATGATTTAACCTTTTAAGTACCTCTGCCTAGTGAATTACATAAAAGACCCGCCCTGGTCAAACCAGCTCACACTGATGTCCCCAGGGAGTGATCACACTTGGGTACCCTGCCTCCTATGACAGCTTTGGCTCTGCAAGTTGGAGTTAGTCATCCAGGAAAATTAGCAGATAGGATCTCTTTGCTCAAGAAACATGGATGCAATAATCCAGGACTCTCCAATAATATGAGGAGATTCCAGGGAGATATTTCTCCGGAAATTTCATACCTTTCACTTTTAGATATGCTAACCATACTAATCCATCCTACTCCAAGGTGAGAGGCCTGAGAAGGACTTGGAGATAGATTTACCACACACTTGCAATTGTTCCTATAAGATGAAGCTTGTCTCCAAGTGTTTACTATTCTCCAAGTGCTGCCGCTGTGAGTGCGTAGGTTCGAGCATATGGTAACTGGAACAGAAACCAAGTGTTCCAGCTGCCCAAATGGCGAGAGAGGGAGAGAGGGAGAGAGGGAGAGAGGGAGGGAGGGAGGGAGGGAAGATCACAGCTAGCTTGGGGACGTGACAATGTGAAATGCCAATGCCCTTAAGCAGCCAGGGTTCTTGGCCCCCTGTAATCCCAGCATCTAAGGCTGGCTGATGGTCAGGATGCTCTGAATTCTAGGTGTTCTCTGCCTTTGGGCAGGTCTGTCCTTGGTTTCCTTATCGATGACCATGCAGCCCTTGCTGGACCCTGGAGGATTTGAAAAATGAATGAGTTCAAAAACCAGATGGGGCTGGGTGAGTAAGCAAGTCACTAGGTGGCTGGACTTTCTGTAAGCACTTTCCTGGATGCCACTGCATTTCTTGATTCCAGAAAGCTGAGTTTTACCAGCCCGCACTTGCTCAGCACCTCCCACCTCCAGATGGGTGCTGATCCCATAACCTGTGAAGGTGTGCCCAGACCATCTGCACCCACTTCCTACTCCTGATAGGCAAGGAAAGACAGAGCTATCTCCCCACCAAACTCTGTTCTTCCTAAAAAAAACCCTCAAGATTAAGTCCAAACTCCTGACCATGGCACAAAAGGCCCTGTGAGATCTGGCCTCTGCTGGTATCCCAGGCCACCCTTTCCCCCTTCCCTACACTACACTCCTCCCTCACACCATTCTCAACCTCAGAAAACCATCCCTGTCCCCGCCTTCTGTTTGGAGTGCCTTCCTAGAGCTAACTCCACCATAAGGCAGGTGTCACCTCCTCCACGCAGTGCCTCCTGACCCAGGCATTAGGAGAGGTCTCCTCTTACAACCCCCAGGGCCATACCATGTTCTCCAAAGCATCCCAACCACTTCGCACTGGGGAGGCACCCTCTCATGATCCTTCCAGTGCTGCAGCCTGAGTAAAGCGAGGTTTTACATGCATCAGTATAGATCAAATTTCATACTCTATTCTTGGGGTCTTCTAAGTCCCTTTCCTCACCTTCATCTGATTCTAATGACAGTGACGATGTAACTTTTGATCTCCTAAAGAAATAATAAAAATGTAAGGAATAGCAATGGCATCCTTTGAAATGTCCCTTCTCAGATGAAAGCAGTTCAGAAACCCAGGGTGAATGGAGATACTGCCAAGTAGATCACTGCAGTCCACAATTGGGCCAAGGCCCAAGTCATTCCTGGTTTGCAAAGCAGTGTCAAGAGTCTAACTGAAATGGCTTGCTTTCAAAATTATACTTGTTGATGCACAATACCAGCCTTGAAAGTTAAAAAAAAAAAATTAGGTGGGGGATTGGGATAGGTACTCAGGAGGCCAAGGTGGGAGGATTGCTTGGAAAAAAAAAAAAAAAAGCAAGGTAAGGAACTGGGCTTCTACTCACAGAACACTCAACCAGTCCCCTTTCTCCCACCTTCTTTCACTTGTCAATCCTCTTACAAGTGATCACTTTGACTGAGTTTCCGCGGTATAGAAATCGGCGGCTGCCCCTTCTTGTGCCTTCTGCTCAAAGGTTAAAAAGAGAGCTGCTGTGTATGTGTGTGTGAGAGAGACAGACAGAAAAAGAGAGCTGCTGTGTATGTGTGTGTGAGAGAGACAGACAGAAACTGCAGGTCCCTTCTCTGCATCACTCCCTGCCTACACACACACACACACACACACACACACACACACACACACACACACACACACACACACACACACACACACACACAGTGAAGGGGCTCCTGAGGCCTGGTCCTGACTTCTTTTGTGCTGACTCCCCTCTAGGAGCCAAAGAAGGGGCTCTTCTTAATAAGCCAGTTTAGGGTTCTCAACCTCAAGGTCTGAGAACTCTTAAAAACACCTCAGAATCTATGAGGGAGGACATTTTTCTGGACAGAAGTTTTCATCTGATTCTCAAAGCAGTCAGTGATCTGGACGATTAGGAGCCCAGGCAGTAAGTGAGTAGGCTTTCTCACTCTCCCATCACCACGCAGTCCCCTCTGGATACCTGCAGCCATCTTACACCCAATAGGTCCCATGTTGAACCTCACCTCTACCCAAAGCTTCCTCTCCCACCTCCCAAAGGGCCTTTTTCCTGCAACCAACACCTGTTCCAGCTGACCTCACCAAGCCCTGCTTAAATCTGCTTCCTGGATTTCCTTTTCTTCCCCAGCAGCCCAGCCAGGCTCTCACCTTCAAACCCACACAGATGTGCCCACCTCCTACAAGGCCTCCTGTCTCCACCCTCCCCACCTGCATGTGGCCAGATGAATCTTGTTACCAGATGGCTCCTTGCCTTGCTCCAAGCTCCTGGAGGCTCCGCGGTCTCATCACAGTAAGAGCTCATGCTTACCAATGGCTGAGACATGCCAGGCACGGTCCTGAGTACTCTACTCATGCTATCTCAACAACCCAATTTGTTTTTTTTTGAGGCAGAGTTTCGCTCTTGTTGCCCAGGCTGGAGTGCAATGGCACAATCTCGGCTCGCTGCAACCTCCGCCTCCCAGGTTCAAGCGATTCTCCTGCCTCAGCCTCCCAACTAGTTGGGATTACAGGTGCCTGCCACCATGCCCGGCAAATTTTTTGTATTTTTAGTAGAGATGGGGTTTCGCCATATTGGCCAGGCTGGTCTCAAACTCCTGACCTCAGGTGATCCACCCACCTCAGCCTCCCAAAATGCTGGAATTACAGGCGTGAGCCACCACACCCAGCCTCAACAACCCAATGTAATCCCTGCACCCATCCTATGGGTAGGTATATTATTAGTCTTCCCATTCTGCAGATGAAAAAAACTGGGGCTTAGAGTAGTTAATTGACTTGGTTAAGGGGACACAGCCAGGAATAGAGCTGTGGTGTGAATTAGGCAGTTCGATTTCAAAGCCTGTCTTCTTAGCCACCAAGCAATACCACTCCCCAAGTGCTAAAGCCTGGCATGAAGCCCTTCCCAATCTGGCTCCAAGGCTCCAAATCCCCCTCCCCCGTCTCCTGCTGCTGCCCTCCTGGAATGCTCCACTCTCTAAGCAAACTGGCCTAAGAATTGTTTCTCTAACTGTACCTTCTGATGCTCACTTGCTCCATCCTCTCAATATGTGGTAAAATTACTAGGAGTCTTTCTTAGTCAGGGTCTAAGAGACAGGATCTCACTTTGTCACCCAGGCTGGAGTGTAGTGGTGTGATCATAGTTCACTACAGCCTCAACATCCTAGGTTCAAGGCATCCTCCAGAATCAGCCTCCAGAGTAGCTGAGACTACAGGGGCATGCCACCACGCCTAATTTTTAATTTTTTGTAGAGACAGGGTGTGGCTGTGTTTCCCAGGCTGGAAAAAAAAAAGATTAACTGATGATCAGGAAATAATTAGATATGAATGAGAAACCAGAGATTATTTCAGTGAAAATGTTGGATGCAAAATTTCTTTTTTTCTTTTTTTTCTGAGACGGAGTCTCGCACTGTCACCCAGGCTGGAGTGCAGTGGCACCATCTTGGCTCACTGCAACCTCTGCCTCCTGGGTTAACACGATTCTCCTCCCTCAGCCTCCCGGGTAGCTGGGATTACAGGTGCACACCACCACACCTGGCTAATTTTTTGTATTTTTAGTAGAGACGGGGTTTCACTATGTCGGCCAGATTGGTCACGAACTCCTGACCTCGTGATTTGCCTGCCTCGGCCTCCCAAAGTGCTGGGGTTACAGGCGTGAGCCACCTCGCCTGGCTGCAAAATTTCATATACATTATGATCAAGTATGGTTTAAGAAAAATACAGAGAAAAGACTAGAAGGAAAAAACAACCAAATGGTTGTTTCTTGTAGAAATCTGGTAACTGCTTTCCTGCTTCACTATACTTTATATCCTTTCAAAATTTCTTAAATTAACACATATTATCTTTACCATTAAGAAAAAAAAAGGCTGGGCGCAGTGGCTCACCGCCTGTAATCCCAACACTTTGGGAGGCCGAGGCGGGTGGATCACCTGAGGTCGGGAGTTCGAGACCAGCCTGATCAACGTGGAGAAACCCCATCTCTACTAAAAATACCTGTAATCCCAGCTACTTCGGAGGCTGAAGCAGGAGAATCACTTGAACCTGGGAGGCGGAGGTTGCGGTGGGCCGAGATTGCACCATTGCACTCTAGCCTGGGCAACAAGAGCGAAACTCCATCTCAATACACAAAAAAAAAAAAAAAAAAAGGAAAGAATAAAGGAAAGTGACCATTATAAGGGATAACTCAGTTTTGTAACTAGGTATTTCGAAGACTGTGTCCTACAGTCTCCAGGTGAGGAGAGCTGGCAAGGGCGTCCAGGGTGAGCACCCCTCTGTGCCAGGCCCAGCTCCATGAGCTACAATTCAAAGAGGAATTCACTGGGGCGCTCCCTCTGTAACGTCCCACAGTGCTTCTGTTTCTCTTTTTTTCTTATTTTTTTGTGTGTGTGTGCGTATAAAGAGGAACCTCTAAAAAAAACTGCTTGTTTTTGATCAAACCTTCTCCCCTCTGCCTGCTAATGGGATCCAACGGCTAATGTCCGTTCCTTTTGCAACCCAGAAGAGCCCTCTCTGAACTCTGTCCCTACCTGCTCTCAGCAACAATGCAAATCATGACATTTTTGACACAGTGCCATCATCCCTGAAGCAGGGAGTTGCAGAGCAAGAGCTTGAGAGTCAGGTCTACGTTTACACACGTCCCAGCTGGGCCACTTATTAGTCATATCCTCTCAGGCAAGTCCCCTACATTTTAACCTCAGTTTCCTTATCTGTAAGTGGGGATGATGACAGCACTTATCTCACAGGGCTGCTGTGAGGATCCAATTGACATAACATATGTGGAGTGCTTGGCAGAATGCCAGGTCCCCGGAACACTCTCCAATAAAGGTTAGCTTAGTTATCACTGCTGTTCTTACATTCGTCGCCAAAGGAAACTTCCCCATTCCTATGTCTGATGCATGGCCAATTGCATAATACTAATACACTCCCAAGGCAGAATGGTGGCTTACACTGTAATCTCAGCTGTTCAGGAAGCTAAAGCAGGAGGATGACTTGAGGCCAGGAGTTCAAGACCAGCTGGAACAACATAGTGAGACCCCATCTACTAAAAAAAATTTTTTTTTAATTCGCCAGGCATGGTGGTGTGCACCTGTAGTCCCAGGTACCTGGGAGGCTGAGTTGGGGGGATAGCTTTACTCCAGGAATGTGAAGCTGCAGTGAAATATGATTGCGCCACTGCACTCTTGCCTGAGTGACAGAGCAAGGCTTTGTCTTTTTTCTTTTTTTTTGAGATGGAGTCTTGCTCCATCTCAAACACTGCAACTTCTGCCTCCCAGGTTCAAGTGATTCTCCTGAAAAAAAACAAAAACAAAAAATTTCCAGATCCCTGGGGAACTGTCTGGTACACAGTTTTATTTCCACCTCCCTAGGTAGTGTCACTACCTAGTCATTTTGAGGTGACACTCATATATCTGTTAAGCAATTTCCCAAGACTCCCTGCCCCTATCGCCCTGAGTCCCTGGGCACTGTCAAAGCGCTGGCCTTTGCAACCTTTAGTTTGGCATGTGGGGGCCATCTTGGTGCATCCTCCCAGTCCTGCATCCTACACACCTATCATCTTCTGGAGCAGTGGTGAGTTGCCTTTTCCAAAGAGCACGCAGAGGTCCAGGATCTTTGGAATGTCAAAGAGGAAGTTATTGTAGAGGATTTCTCCAAACGCAGAAGGGGAAATGAAGTGATCCTAAGGAAAAATGCAGAGAGAAAGGATAGAGATTTTCTGAACACTCCTACATTATAAATAGCAAACTCATGAGAAACGATCTTTGGTTCCATCAAATGGGGACTGGTTAATGATGCCTTATGCATAGACCTGGAGCAATGGCCATTCTCCCCCCGCCCTTTTTTTTTTTTTTTAAATGTTAATCTATCTATGTTTTTGTGTCTCTAGACTAAACATCCCCATGACTTTTACAACTGGCTGTATTATCATGTCTTTTTTTTTTTTTTTTTTTTTTGATACAGGGTCTGGCTCTGTTGCCCAGGCTGATGTGCAGTGGTGTAATCTCTGCTCACTGCAACCTCTACCTCGCCAGCTCAAGCCATTCTCCCACTTCAGTCTCTTGAGTAGCCGGACTACAGGCACGTGCCACAACGCCTGGCTAATTTTTGTATTTTTTGTAGAGATAGGGTTTCCCTATATTGCCCAAGCTGGTCTCGAACTCCTGATCTCAAGCAATGAGCTTGCCTCGGCCTCCCAAAGTGCTGGGATTACAGGTGTAAGCCACAGTGCCCAGCCTCCCCTTTAAAAAAAATTTTTTTTTAAATTTTATTTTTTGAGACAGTCTTGCTCTGTTGCCCAGGCTGGAGTGCAGTGGTGCTATCTCGGCTCACTGCAACCTCCGCCTCCCAGGTTCAAGCAATTCTCCTGCCTCAGCCTCCCAAGTAGCTGGGATTACAGGAGCTCGCCACCACACCCAGCTAATTTTTGTATTTTTAGTAGAGACAGGGTTTTGCCATGTTGGCCACGCTGGTCTCGAACTCCTGACCTCAAATGATTCATCTGCCTCGGCCTCCCAAAGTGCTGGGATTACAGGCATGAGCTACCATACCAGGCCCATTCTCCCTTTTAATGTAAAAACAAAGCATGCTATAAAACAATCAGTTGGGAATTTATCCTGAAATATTTGCAGATAAATTAGTATGATATCTAGGATTGCTTTAAAATACTTCAGGAAAAAAGAGAACTAAGGGAGAGAGATAAAATGAGATTGGCGGAATGTTGATAATTGTTGAAGGGTACATGGGATTCACTGTACTTTGTATATGAAAATTTTGTATTTGTGGCCAGGCGCGATGGCTCGCGCCGGTAATCTCAGCACTTTGGGAGGCCGAGGCAGACGGATCACGTGAGGTCAGGAGTTCGGGATCAGCCTGGCCAACATGGTGAAACCCCATTTCTACTAAAAATACAAAAATTAGCTGGGAGTGGTGGCACATGCCTGTAATCCCAGCTACTTGGGAGGCTGAGGTAGGAGAATGCTTGAATCCAGGAGGCGGAGGTTGCAGTGAGCAGAGATCATGCCATTGCACTCCAGCCTGGGCAACAAGAGTGAAACTCCATCTCAAAAAAAAAAAAAAAGAAAAGAAAATTTTGTATTTATGTATATTTGGAAATTTCCATTCTAGGTCAGGTGTGGTGGCTAGTGCCTATAATCCCAGCTACTTGGGAGGCTGAAGAGGGAGGACTGCTTGAGGCCAGGAATTCAAAACCAACCAGGGCAAAATAGCAAGATGCCCTCTCTCCAAAAACATTTTTTAAATTAGCCGGGTGTGGTGGTGTCTGCAGTCCCAGCTACTTTGGAGGCTGAGGCTGGAGGATTCCTTGAGCTCAGGAGTTTGAGGCTGCAGGAAGCTATGATTGCGCCACTGCACTCCAGCTTGGGTGACAGAGATTCTCTAAAAACAAAGAAAAAGGAAGAGAAAATGTCCATATTATAACACTTTTTAAAAAGATCCTATTTTTTAAATACACACACACACACACACACACACACACACACACACACACTCAAAGGGAACAAATTCCCTGAAGAAATATGCATGTAATAGGGTTGGGTGTAGTGGCTCATGCCTGTAATTCCAGCACTTTGGGAGCCTGAGGTGGGAATATAACTTGAGTTCAGGAGTTCAAGACTAGCCTGAGAAACATAGCGAGACCTCGTCTCTACTAAAAATCAAATAAATTAGCCAGGCATGATGGTGCATGCCTGTATCTCAGCTATTTGGGAGGCTGAGATGGGAGGATCACTTGAGCCTGGGAGACTGAAGCTGCAATGAGCTATAATCACGCCACTGCACTCCAGCCTGGGCAACAGAGTGACACCCTGTCTCAAAAAAAGCAAAGAAAGAAAAATGCACCTAACAGTGGTTATTTTGCAGGGGAGAGATTTTGTCGGTGACATTCGTATTTCCGCAATGTTTGGGTTGTTTAGAGATAGCAGTATTATTTTTAAAGTCAGGAAAAAAAAAACAGTAAAGATTTTTAAAAAGAGTACACAAGTTCCTTTAAGAAGTCAGAATCAATGTTTTTTCTCTCTGACGCACAAGTCAAGGCAGTCACGCGTCAGCTGGCAAAGGGCCCTCGGCTCTCTTTGATGGAAATACTGGGTGTAACACAGACCAACCCAGTGAATTAGAGGATAAGGGACGTGGCACAGATTTCTTCCCCAACAGTGGGAATAAAGATGGAAGAGAGACAAAGAGGAAACTCAATGCTTCCAGAGCCTTCCTTCCCAGGGGTGGAGAGCCCGGCACAGAGGTGTCGAGTATCGGGTGATGACCTGTCATGGGATCAGTGGCTTACTTTGGATTCCTTGTGAGTGGACATGCGGAGGAAGGTGAGAAAAACACTTCGATGGAGGCGCTTCTGCATGTCAACAACCTCAGGGGCTGAGGCCACCCCCTCGTCGAATTTGCGGGGGACATAGCGCAGGTAGGAGTCCAGGCACTTCTGTAGAGTCTCGTCAAAGATCACCTAAACCAGGAGACAGAGGAGAGCGAGGATTTATCCCTTAGGCCCCAGGGGCTTGTGGGTGGACTGTGCAGGGACTCAATGCCCATCAGCCCTGCCCTATTCCAAACACTCCGACCCCAAGGGACCAAGGAGGTATGAATGAGCCAAGGGCTAAACACAAGATTCTAAAATTGACACTTTGAAAGGTGTGTAAACATTAAGATTGTGATACAAGACAGAGCAATCCGAACCACAATTTGCTGTTAAGGATCCAGTGAAAGAAGTAGACAAAAAAGCACCTCCTAGGGGAAGAAAAACAACAACAGCAACCAACCAATGGCATGTCATGTGCTTTGTCTTAGCGTTAATTTTGATAGAATGTTACCTGGCACCAGAATTTATCGTGAGGCAAGGCCAGGAGCCAGTCGAGGTCATTGGCTACGAAGGTGGCGCGTTCCAGGTACTCCTCCACTAGGGCGGGAATGTTGTCTTTAGGGGGCGGTTTGTATAACACAAAATACCGGTCTGCCTTCTGCTCGGGGTGCTACGGATCCAAAAACCACGTGTTAACGTGGCAGAGGTTAGTCAGCGAGGGCCCATTTGCCAACCCACAGCAATGACAACACTTGGCTGTTCCAACCGGTGACCCTCCAAGGAGCTTTTAAGCATAAAGAACCAAGTGTATCTAACAAAGAGGGCATGGTTGCATTCAGCGAACACTAGGCGGTAATTAAAATCCATGTTTTCGGAGTGGATTTAATGACACGGGGAAAGGTTAAGGGAAGAGAAAGCAGGATACAAAACTCTCTGTTTAATATAATCAGTTTTCATTTTCCTTTTTTAGTAAAAGGCAAAAGATTTATTTGTTATGAAGAAAAACCAGAGCATAGTTTTCGGTCTTTAAAAAGTGTAAGTATATTCACACACTGGTATTGATTTTTAAAAAAGAAGCTGGGGAGATGACGCCCCAAAGCTAATAGTGGTTATCTCTGATGGGGGCGGGGGGTGGTGAATTGTGGCTTGAATAGACTTTCCCATTAAAAAAAAAAAAAGAACATATATTCATATATTACTTTTGTTTTGTTTTGTTTTGTTTTTGAGACAGGTCTCACTCCCGTTGCCCAGGCTGAAGTGGAGTGGCATAATCTTGGCTCACGGCAGCCTCTACCTCCTGGGCTTAGGTGATCCCCCACCTCAGCCTCCCAAGTAGCTGGGACTACAGGTGCACACCACCATGCCTGGCTAATTTTTTTTTAGTAGAGATGGGGTTTTGCCATGTTGCCCAGGTGGTCTCAAACTCCTGGGCTCAAGCCATCCGCCTGCCTTGGCCTCCCAAAGTGCTAGGATTACAGGTTTGAGCCACCTCTCCTGGCCACATATATTACTTTTTAAATTAATTTTTAATTATATAATTTGACACAAGCATCTTTTCTTTCAAAAACTTACAAGGTACAGAGAAGGTGAGCTGCCTGGGACTACACTCCCAGGCCCCATGTTCCCTGCAGAGGTAACCACTCACCATCTGATGGGTGTCCTTGCAGACCTCTTCCAGGCATTTACATTAAATTATACCCATAAAGGCCAGGCACAGTGGCTCATGCCTATAATCCCAGCACTTTGGGAGGCTGAGGCAGGCAGATCACGAGGTCAGGAGATCGAGACCATCCTGGCTAGCACAGTGAAACCCCGTCTCTACTAAAAATACAAAAAAATTAGCCGGGCATGGTGGCGGGCGCCTGTAGTCCCAGCTACTCGGGAGGCTGAGGCAGAAGAACGGCGTGAACCCGGGAGGCAGAGCTTGCAGTGAACCGAGATCACGCCACTGCACCCCAGCCTGGCTGACAGAGCCAGACTCCATCTCAAAAAAAAAAAAAAAAAAAAAAATTATACCCATGAAACAATTTGTCTGGGTCTGTTCTTTCCTTTTTTTTTGTTTTTTATTTTTTTGTAAGTAAGTCTCAGCGTAGAATCACAAGTTCTCCCTTCCAGCCCCTACTTGCCATGAACAAACCTTACTTTGTTCACCATAAAGAGGAGATGGGCTCAGTTTTCTCCTCTGACTACATAACGGGTGCTTTCTCTGGGGAAGTGGTAGCAGGAGGATGGCCAGGCAATGTGTCAGCTCTTATCAACCACAGTCCATCCACTTCCAGGTCTGTTGATCCAGGGGATATAGAAAAATTGAGACTGATAAGAGGTCAGCCTCCTCAAGAACCATCTATGCCTTCCTAGTGCCTTACGCGAGTTTCCAAACTGTAGAGCCTGTGGGTACCACAAGGATTCTTCAAGGCCACCTCTCATGTGGGTCTGCAGGACCCCCTCCCATTTAAATCAAATTTGTATCATGGAGTTACAGGTACAAATCTGTTGAAAAAGAAATTCTGCTGGCTGAAACAAGTTCAAAACAACTGTCAGGAGCCGAAATACATCTCCTTGGTTTCCAAGCTTCCTCCCTCTTCTATCTGTTGGCACTTTACCTCTTCCCTCACTTCTCACTCAGGCCAGGCTACTCATTCTCCCGACACACACACACACACACACACACACACACACACAACCAGGCTACTCATTCTGACACACACACACACACACACATACACCCAGACTACTCATTCTCCTGACACACACACACACACACACACACCAGGCTACTCATTCTTCTGACACACACACACACACACACACACACACACCAGGCTACTCATTCTTCTGACACACACACACACACACACACACACACACACCCCTGAGATTCTACTTTCCCTACAATCCCACAGGGGGAAGATGGACATCTAAATCACCAAGTGAGCACAAAACAAAGGAAGTGACAGCTCAAACCTGGCAGAGGGACTGTGGAAATGCAGAAGGGAATTAATAGCACCTGGAGGATAAGGGACGGCTTCCCAGAGCAAGCAGACTTCCTCCAAGGCTCCAAGCATTCGAGGATAAGGACTTCAAATGGAAGAAACATTTTTATGGAGGCATAAACATGGGTCATAACAAAAGGGCACAGATTGCACTGGGCGGTGGGAGACAGATTTGGTGAATGCTGGAATGGTGCAAATGAAAGCTGCCACTCATTGTGGACCTGCCCTGTGCCAGCCACTAAGCAGGCACAACCCACAGCCCCTATTTTTTTAATCTACAAAAACTATTTAAAAGAGACATAGTATTCATCCCATTTTAGAGGAGGAATCAAACAGTAAGTTTCAGGAACTTTCCCAAGGTCATGGGATTAAAGAGGCAACTGAGGCAGGATTTGAGCCAAAGCTTACACTGCAGACCTATTAAATGACCTATGGTATCTGTGTGCCATCCTGGTCTCACTGATTGTCCTTCTGACCCCAGTTCCAATCTCACCTCTTCCAGGAAGCCTCCCTGACTCCCATCCCAGCTGGATTAGGAGCTCATCTAAGCTCTCCCTCAGCACCTGCATTCTGTGCTCACCTCTCTATACCACTTGAACAGCATTAAAAGTGCTTTCAGATCAGTGGTTTGGATGGGGAAAGGGTGGGAGGAAGGCATGGATTGCAGAGAGGCACAAGAAAACTTTCAGGGGTGGTAGAAATGCTCATTGATGATGATAGTTTCATGCATGCATACAGATGGAAAAACCAATCAAATTGCATATTTTACGTTTTAATTTTTAAAATGTTGGCTGGGTACAGTGGCTCATGCCTGTAATCCCAGCACTTTCGGAGGCCAAGTCAGGCCCATCACTTGAGGCCAGGAGTTTGAGACCAGCCTGGCCAACACTGTGAAATCCCATCTCTTATCAAAAATACAAAACTTAGCCAGGTGTAGTGGCACGCACCTATAGTCCCAGCTACTCGGGAGGCTGAGGCAGGAGAATCACTTGCACCTGGGAGGCGGAGGTTGCAGTGAGCAGAGATCATGCCACTGCACCCCAGCCTGGGCAACAGGTTAGACTCCACCTCAAAAAAAAAATTCCCTTTCTTTTCATAGGTGTTGGCAAATTGTATATTTTAAATATGTGCAGTTTATTGTCCTTCAACAATGCCTGAATAAAGCTGTATAAAAGGGGAGGACTGGTCTTCCCAGCTGTCTCCCCCACTAGCTTGTAGGTGTCTGGAGGCAGTCTGAGCTTTGCTCACCCAGCATTCCGAGTCTATAGAACACCACCTGGCATTGAGCAGACTTTCTGTACAGATCTGCTGGCTGGACAAAGAAATGAATGGAGGCTGACTGGACGTGGTGGCTCACGCCTGTAATCCCAGTGCTTTAGGAGGCCAAGGCGGGCGGATCACAAGGTCAGGAGTTCGAGACTAGCCTGGCCAACATGGTGAAACCCCGTCTCTGCTAAAAACACAAAAATTAGCTGGTCCCAGCTACTCAGGAGGCTGATGCAGAAGAATCACTTGAACCCGGGAGGCGGAGGTTGCAGTGAGCCGAGATCGCGCCACTGCACTCCAGCCTAGGCGACAGAGCAAGACTCTGTCTGGGAAAAAAAAAAAATGGTTTTGCCATGTTGCCCGAGCTGGTCTTGAACTCCTGGGCTCAAGTGATCTACCTGCCTCAGCCTCCCAAAGTGCTGGGATTACAGGCGTGAGCTACCGGGCCTGGCCACAAGACTATTTCTTTTGGGTCTTCAAGTATGTGCTATTCAAATAGATCCTCAACCAACATTAGCTCTACCAATTACCCTGAAAAGGTGGTGTGGTAACTACCCTTTGGCTAGAGATCATGCCCCAAGCCAAGACTAAAGGGACAAATATAGGGTGGACACATATCTTAGTACAATCTTTCAGGAGCTGCCCGTGGCCTTCAGAGTAACACTCTTCAGTCTGCCAGCAAGACCCCTCTTCGATCAGGCAGCTGTCTCCCTCAACTCATCTGCCTTCCCACCATACCCCCAATTTAGTGCTGCTGTTGTTGTCCCTGCTGTCATCACCATTGTAATAACAATTTATTGAGTGCTTACTATGTTCCAGGCACAGTGCTCATTCACAGGCATCTCATTTAATCCCCACAACCACCCTGCAAAGCTGGTCCTATTATTATCGCTTTTGGATTTGAGGCTTAGAGAGGTTCAATAACTTGCCCAAAGACACAAAGACAAATATTCAAATATGTGTGAAATGAACACGAAGCCTGTACTTGCTAACTCTGCTATACTGTTGCCACCTCAAGTGACTTGTGGTTAGTGTAAGAGTCAGGATCTCTCAAGACTCCAGAACTGCATACTAAGGTTGTCCTACCAGGTCCAGCCTTCTCCTGTTGCTCTGCCCAGCTAGTGTTAAGTTGCCCTTCAATACCCAGTTCAGAAGCCCTTTCCTTCAGGAAGCCCTCCTGGGCTGCACGTACCCTCCCACCAGGCCAAAGCCTCCCTGCCCCTACACACCCCACTGGTCTGGATCGGCGGCCCCGGCTCTGCACTCATGGAACAGCCTAGACTTCCTTCTGTCACAACCCTGATCACACTAGAGAAGCTACTGGTCTGTCTTTCTCTTAGGTCGTGGGCTCTTCAAGGGCAGAGACCATGTCTTTTCTCTTTATAGCTCCAGCACCTGGCACATGGCCTGGCTGCAGTCCCTGACTCATGTACCAAATGTTTTCTGAGAGCCTCCTGTGCGCCTGGCACTGGAAATCAGGAGTAAAGGGCAAGGACCAGGCCATCGCTCTCACAATGCCTGCAGTCTAACAACCCACATGTTCATTCGGTATGTGGGGAGGACTGAGGTGGAAAATCATACTCGACCACCCAAGGAGCCAGTCTCCATCAGTGTTTCCATCAGAACTTTCTGCAATAATATAACTGCTCTATATCTGTGCTGGCACTCACCACATGGGGCTATTTTAATTTAAAAGCATTACAATTAAATTAAAAATCTAGTTCCTCAGTCCACACTCACTATTCACATTACAAGTGCTTAATAGCTACATGTGGTGAATGACCACCTATTGGGTGGCTATCATACTGAAAAGAACACTTCCAGATTTTCTGATAAATATCTCCCACACATAAAAAGGTTATAAAAAGAAAATGAGAGGCTTTATAGCAGAAAGAATTTAAGGATATGTGTCCTAGGGTCTGCCTGGCTAGGCTCCCATCCTGACTCCCCTGATTTCCTAATTCTGTGACTCTGAACTCTCAGTTTCCTCATCTGTAAAATGGAGACAATCAAAATGTCTATTTGTAGGGCTGTGATGTGGACTAAATGAGATAATCCGGGTGAAGTGTTTAGAATGATCTGGCACAGGGCAAGTACTGTATAAATGTCAGGTACTATTATTAGAGACTATTTAAGAAGTAATAAGAAGCCATCTAGAAGGCAGGAAATAAAACACCAAGTTCCTGTTTCCCACGACTTTACTCAAACCCCTAGAAAACACTTCCTCCCACCTTGTTCAAGTGAGCTCAAATTCTTGGGAAAACAACAAGTGGGTATAGGAACTCCAGGGCTACATCTATCTCCTTCTTCAGCAGCCTGGCACCTCTCCATGGCTTTAATCTCTCTCTGCAGCTGGTAATCGACATGTTCATAGCCTCCTTATTTTTCAGTCTCACTAGCTCTGCCGGGGTGTTTGTATGTGGTGCTTCCTATCTCAGTTGAGATAAAAGACGGCCCAACCTCTGAAATCAGCGTTCCCACCAAAATACGGATAGCAGCTTAGATAGCTCTGAAAACGCTACCTGAAACCTGAACACCCTCCACAGGGTCAAATCCCCAAACCCAGCTTTGGGCTGGATCCATTTCTAGCCCGATCCAGGCTGAATTAGAACTGCCATTGGACTGATTTGAAATTAAATGCTTTGGGGGGAAGGTGCAGGGTGGTGACATGGAAAATCCTATGCAAATTCAAGTTGCTGCTCGGAAGGAAATTCCTACTCTGGGCCTGGAAGAGACTAGTAGTGTCTCAGCTACTGAATCACCGACCATGGCCCTCGTGTCATTCTTGGAACAGATAAAGACGGAATTTACTTTTTGCTCCTGAAATTGCAAGACTGACAATATCAGGCTGAATGGCCTTAAGTGACCGGCTCACCAGCGCTGGTGAAGTCCTCAGCTTTCCTGTCTTCGGGTCCTTGTGGGTGATCTGGAGTTGGTCCAGGGGCAGAGCTGGCATTGTGCTGCGTGACCCTCCTGAAAGGAATATGGATGGGAAGAAGAGAGCAGACACACAGACTCCTGGGGGCAGGGCCTGCTCTGGGGCTGATCCCAGAGTCAGAAGAGAAGCTTCAACCTCTCGCCTTAGGAGGCTCCTGTTGTGGTTCAGGACCTGGTTCATGCACCTACTAACCCAGCCAAAGTGACTTTTTTTGCATAAAGCAGTTCTCAATTGTAGAAGAAATACTTCCCCAGATGACTTCTGATATATTTCCACCCACTTTTTTTTTTTTTTTTTGAGATGGAGTCTCGATCTGTCACCAGGCTGAAGTGCAGTGGCGCTATCTCAGCTCACTGCAACCTCCGCCTCCCTGGTTCAAGTGATTCTCCTGCCTCAGCCTCCCCAGTAGCTGGGACTGCAAGCACACACCACCATGCCCAGCTTTTTTTTTTTTTAAAGAGACAGAGTCTTACTCTGTTGTCCAGTGAAGTGGTGAGATCATAGCTCACTGTGGCCTCTAACTCTTGAGCTAAAGCAATCCTCCCACCTCAGCCTCCTGAGTAGCTGGGACTACAGGCATGCACCACTACGGCCAGCTAATTTTTTAATTTTTTGTAGAGACAGGTTTTATTTTTTGATAGATGAGTTCTTACTACATCACTCGGGCTGGTCTCAAACTCCTGGGCTCAAATGATCCTCCTGTCTTGGCCTCCCAAAGTGCTGCCTCAACCTCCCAAAGCGCTCACAGGTGTGAGCCTCTGTGCCCAGCCTGTTTCCACCCACTTTGAGAAGTACTGGCTAAAAATATGTAGATTCCCTTTATTATGGCTCCAGCTCTGTGAGCTCAGTAGCCTGTGAGCTCTATGAAGACAATGCCCAGGGCTCTCCTCTTGCTATCTTTTCTGTGAGCACAGGATTGGTACAGAGGTGGCCTCACCAAATGTTTGAAGAATGACTACATATGAGGACACTCCTTTTAAAACTCTAGCCAGATTTTAAGTCTTTTGAGGGTTGAAGCCATGGGCCTTTCCTCACTTGTGGAGGATGTTAAGATTTTGCAACCTTTCTAGGCTTCAGGGAAGAAGTACGTGGAAGAATAGAACGACATGAGAAGAAGGGAAGAAGGACATGGAAGAAGGGAAGAAGGACGTGGAAAAAGAGAAGGACCAGGGAAAAAGATAATTCATAGAAAACTGACAGTGCAAGCTCCTTTCTACAAAGGCACAAACTGACCTCACAGTCAGTGAGTGGCAGATCCAAGGTCTCCTGTCTTGCTGTCCAGTGTTCTTTTCACAATATCACTTGGCCTGACCCACAGAAGGGACATACGTGTTAAATGAATCACGGAATAGAAGTGTATTAGGCCCCTCAAAAAACATGCCATAAAAGGCTAGAACAGACTCAATGACAACATGAAGAGAGACAGAGGCTGGGGTGATTAAACTGTCACCTCTTGAGCCTTCACAGACAAGCAGAGGAGCATGGGGGACATGAGCTACCAGCTGTGTCATATCTCAGATATTGGGCCAGGCTTAATGATATGAAGAGCTCCTCTAAGTGCTTTTCTTTTTCTTTTTTTTTTTTTTTTAAATAGAGACGGGGTTTCACCATGTTGCCCAGGCTGGTTTCAAACTCCCAAGCTCAAGCAATACGCCCATCTTGGCTTCCCAAAGTGCTGGGATTATAGGTGTGAGCGCCTGGCCTCTAAGTGCTCTTCTCAGCATTAACTTACTTGCCCTGTTAACTGGCTTTACATGTATTAATGCTCACAAAAAGTCTAAGGTTAGTTCTATTATTATCCTCATTTTATCAGTGACAAAACAGAGGCTCACAGAAAATAAGAAACTTGCCCAAGGTCTCACAGTTAGTGGGTGGTGAAGCAGGCTGGTTCTTAACTATTCACTATACTGTGTCTAGTTTAGTTAAACTTAGGGGTGAGACGGGGTGAAGGGGTGGAGTGAAAGTCAAAGCACTTCTAGAGGAGAGTCTGAGTAGTCTTGATAATAGAGACTGGCCAGGGAAGAAGGGTGCCCCAGGCAGAGGAAACAGCAGAGCAAAGGCAAGGAGGTGGAAACAGCCTGGTACCCAAGGAACCTTGGTTCTGGCCTGTTATAAAGACTGTGAAGATCCCCACCCTAGAAGGAGTAATAAGAGAGGACCAGTCTGCCTAGTCCTTGACACCTGTTCCAGCTCTAGGATCCCAGCAGATCAGACACACATGGTCTCTGCATACACGAGGTGGCCTGAAAAAAAATCACAAGGCAAAGAAAGTAATAAAGGGCTTAGGTAAGTTTTCATCTTTCAGCTTTGCAAAGCATAGATAATATCCTCTGCTGCACGTATTTCTAATCAAGTTACTGTCTTACTAGCCTCTCACAACAACCCAATTAAGGACAACAAGGATTACCATGTTCAGATGTCCAAAGAGGGGCCCTGATTTGCTCAAGGTAAATACATTATTGGCCAAGCTGAAACCGAAGCCCAGGTCTTTTGCTAGGGCACCTGGGGCTCTTGTGCCGAATATGTTAAAAAATAATAATAATAATTTTTTTTTCTAACCCTCTAGCCATGCTGGAAAGTGAGCTGGAAACACCACTGCTCTGCAAACCAGTGCAGAAGTCTAAATGACTGACAGGCCCAGTTCTTTCCAGGCTCGCCCGCTGAAGATGGCTGTGGGAGTGTTGGGTGTGAGACACAGGGTGGAGAAAAAGTCAGGAGGAGGAGGCAAGTCTCCACCCTTTAACCTCTAGGCCCCACAGTCCAGGCCTAGACAGGTAGAGACAGCATTTGCTTTCAGAAGAAATTCACGGCCAGGTGCAGTGGCTCATGCCTGTAATCCCAGCACTTGGGAAGCCAAGGCAGGAGGATTGCTCGAAGCCAGGAGTTTGAGACCAGCCTAAGCAACATAGTGAGACCCCCATCTCTACAAAAAATTCAAAAATTAGTCAGGTGTGGTGGTGCACTCCTGTAGTCCCAGCTACTTAGGAGGCTGAGGCGGAAGGATCACTTGAGCCCAGGAGATCAAGGCTGCAGTAAGCCATGATGGCACCACTGCACTCCATCCTAGGTGACAGAGCAAGACCCTGTCCCAAAATTTAAAAAAAAAAAAAAAATTTTTTTTCTTTAAAAGAAATTCACTCCTACAAACCATTGCCTGCCAGGGCAATTCAGGGCTAGCCTGGTGTGGTGGTAGGGAGAGAGCGCTACAGTCCTACAGCCTGGATTCAAGTCCTGGCTCCACCTTTTCCTATCCATGTTGAGACCTTGAGACAGTTCCCTAACCTCTCTAACTTTTGATTGCCTCTTCTGTAATACCAGAATTGTAATAGTACATAAACTCGTAGGGTTGCTATGAGAAGTAATCAATGTGAAGTGTTCAACCCAATACCTGGCACATAATAAGCACTCAATAAAGTTTAGTTGTTGTTATTATTCAAGTCCCAACCAGAGGCAAGACACTTTGGGCTTCCTGGTTTATTCAGCAAACAATTCCTGAATACAATCTGGGTCCTAGGCATATAACTGACTATGATTTGGCATTAAAGCTGTAACAGGAAATGTCCAAAACTACAGTATAGTAGAGAAAGGAAGGATATTACAAAGAAGGTGATCTATAACCTGGATGTTGAAGGATGGGGGAAAAGGTGACATTCCAAGCAGAGAGCAAGCATGAACAAAGGCTCAGAGTCTTAAAATGTGTGGCTTTGGGTCGGGTGAGGTGGCTTCCGCCTGCAATCAGCACTTTGGGAAGCCACGGAAGGAGAATTGCTTGAGCCCAGGAGATTGAGGTTGCAATGAGCCATGATACGTCACTGAACTCCAGCCTAGGGGACACAGTGAGACCCTGTCTAAAAAGTGTGGCTTTGAAGGAAGAGGGAGACATTTGGTGTTACTGAAAACACAGGTCAGATAGGGGATGACAGAAGTGAAGAGAGAAGAGAAGCTGGATAGGGAAGACAGGACCAGTTTAAAAAGAGCCTCAAAATAGCTTGAACCCGGGAGGCGAAGGTTGCAGTGAGCCGAGATCACGCCATTGCACTCCAGCCTGGGCGACAGAGCGAGACTCCATCTCAAAAAAAAAAAAAAAAAAAAAAAGCCTCAATGCTACACTAAAGATTTTAGTATTTCACCTGAAGGCAGTGAGGAGTCATTTAAGTATGAGACAGACATGACCAGAAAGAGATGATGATAACCTGGTGGCAGAAAAGACCTTTAATAAACCACGAGAGAGCAAACAGTACGTTAATCATTTCATTCATTCCTTTTTTTTTGAGATGGAGTCTCACTCTGTCACCCAGGCTAGAGTGCAGAGGAACGATCTCGGCTCACTGCCACCTCTGTCTCCCGGGTTCAAGAGATTCTCCTGCCTCAGCCTCCCGAGTAGCTGGGAATACAGGCATACGCCTGGCTAATTTTTGTATTTTTAGTAGAGAGAGGGTTTTGCCATGCTGGCCAGGCTGGTCTGGAACTCCTGACCTCAGGTGATCCGCCCGCCTTGGCTTCCCAAAATGCTGGGATTACAGGCATGAGTCACTGCCCGGCCATTCAAATATTTTTGAACACCTATTATGTGGCAGGCACTGATGCCCAGAGAATATTAAGGTGGGCAAATAACAAACCTGCTCCTGCCCTTCACAGAGCTTACAGTCATAATGGGGAAAGACAGATACTTTTCCAATTAGCCATACAAACAAATAAAAACCAATACCATGATGTAGCTATGTAGATAAGGCTCATGAAGCTGTGGCAGCATTTAAAAGAGAGACCTGGCTTGAGGAAGAAGTGATGTCAAGGAAGACCTGAGTTTTTGTCTAAAGCACGGGTACAAATTAAGTAGGCAGGGCTGGGCGCGATGGCTCACGCCTGTAATCCCAGCGCTTTGGGAGGCCAAGGCGGGCGGATCACGAGGCCAGGAGATCGAGACCATCCTGGCTAGCAAGGTGAAACCCCGTCTCTACCGAAAAAAAAAAAAAAAATTAGCAGGGCGTGGTGGTGCATGCCTGTAATCCTAGCTACTCAGGAGGCTGAGGCAGGAGAATCGCTTGAACCCGGGAGGCGGAGGTTGCAGTGGGACGAGATCACGCCACTGCACTCCAGCCTGGGCGACAGAGCAAGACCCCGTCTTGGGGGGAAAAAATAAATTAACTGGACAATCTGAACTTTGAGCTCCAAAAGGACAAACAATAATCATGACTATGTCTGTGCCCACCACTGTATTCCCCTGCCAGGCAGGACAGCAAAAGCCAAAAGCTAAGAAAGGGAGGGGGAGCTCCCTACAAGCACCCAATTGCAATATGGCCTGGGAGCATCCCCGGGGCTACTGCTCCCTCAGCCTCTTTGTCATCATTCCTCTAGTCTCTCAATTAAATACTACTCTCCTCAGAGACCTTCTGATGGCTCTGCCTATAGTATCCACTCTCCCAGTTACTGTCATAGCTTTAATGACCTTGTGCATTTGCTTGTCGTTGACCATCTCCTCCCACTAGACTGTAAGCTCCATGAGGGCAGAAGCCTTGTCTGTCTTGCTTTCTTTGTATCCCCAATGTCTAGATCTGTGTCTGGCACATAGGAAGCACTCCACAAATATTTGCTGAACGAATGAATGAACCCTGAGGAAACTGAAGCCCCGGGTGTGAGGACGTGGGGGGATCGTGGCTGGTCCAACGCCACTCTGGGGCCGAACTTCGAACCCGTGGCTCCTGACCCTGGCGGCCAAGTCTCGAGAGGCGGCTCACAACCCCTCAGGTAGCGTAAGCGTGGGCCCCGCAATGGAGGCCAGAGGATGGGAGAGCCAAGGCTGCCCAAGGCATAGCCGCGGCTCCTCCGGGGTCCCTTGCCCTGCATCTGGCAGGGACCAGCCACGCACTCACCTCGGCGGCTCCACCACCGGCTCTGTGCCGCCGCCGCCGCCGCCGCCGCCGACCACGGTGACAGCTCCCTGAGCGCCCGCACTTCCGGGGTCAAACTGCGATTCCGCAGGAGCAGACAGGAAGTCTCGGCCTGGCCCCGCCCCCAGAGCCGAGCAAACTACCGCCGGGAAGCCGGACCCGGGTTGCGCCTCTCTTCTTAAGACTCCGCCCCACACTCGGCGTCTGTAGCCACGCCCCCTTCCCCTCCTATCTCCCTTCCTGCTTAAGCAGAGAATAGGTCAGCTGAGGGCGGGCTGTGTGATTACACCTCTCGGGAAATCCAAGTATGGCACCTGAGAGGACGTCTCGGAATCCCAGGCTTCCACCTTCTGCCCGACCTCCTTAGTCACCGTTTTACATATTTAATCCAGAAGAGAAATTTTAACAAGTCAAAAGCACGAACATAATGTTAAGCAGATGTACAAGTACAGACTGCGATTTCATTTACGGGAAATTCTAGAACAGACAGAACTCATGAGTAGTGATGGTGTTAAAATTGGTGGTTTCCTCTGGGGCTGTGGGCTGGGAGGGGCCACAAGTGAGGCTGGGGTCACCCCCTGTCTTCATCTCGGTGGTAGCCATGTAGATGTGTTCACTTTGGAAAATTCATCAAATTGTACGCTTAAGATTTGTGCATTTTTCTGTATGTATGCAATACAGTTTTGTTCTGTTTTGTTTAAGGAAGTTACAAGTATAGCTATCCTAAGAGAAGGATGCAATTTTTTCTACAGAATGTCTCAGGTAATGTAGGTTTAGTGGTTCCTAAGCCTGACTATGGATCAGAATCATCACAGAAAACTTGTTAAGAACACACATTCCTGGCTTCATCTCAGTGCCTGGTACACAGTAAGAATTCAAAACCAACCACCATCATTATTGGGGTGTTATAGAAGCCCCCGAATGGAGAACACAACCCCACCCTGGGATTGTGAAATATTTCCCAGGACACTCCTGCCAACCCCTGCTATCTGCACTAGGGCTACAAGGAATGCTTAGTTCAGTGCCTGTCTTCAAGGGGCTTACAGGATAGGAAGTGCAAGAAAACCAATAGCAATGAGTCAGTGTGATGAATGCAGGGTGCTAAGGAAATAGGAGAGATGGGCTGTAAACCAGAAATGAGATGAGAGGGGCTGGATATTATATTAGTTTTGTATTGCTGCATAACATATTACCACAAACTTATAACAACACACTGCTTGCCACTTATAACAAACACATTTATTTATTTATTTATTTTGAGACAGAGTCTCACTCTGTCACCAGGCTGGAGTGCAGTGGTGTGATCTTGGCTCACTGTAACCTCTGCCTCCCGGAGGTTACAGTGGGTTCAAGCGATTCTCCTGCCTCAGCCTCCCAAGTAGGCAGGACTACAGGCATGAGCCACCAGGCCCAGCTAATTTTTGTATTTTTAGTAGAGACGGAGTTTCACCATGTTGGCCAGGATGGTCTCGATCTCTTGACGTCGTGATCCGCCTGCCTCAGCCTTCCAAAGTGCTGGGGTTACAGGCGTGAGCCACCACACCTGGCCAACAAACATATTTATTATCTCACATTTTCTGTGGGCCAGGAATCTGAGGATGGCATAGCTGGCTCCTCTGCATCAGGGTCACCCACAAGACTGCAATCAAGATATCGGCCAGGGCTGGAGTCTCATTTAAAGGCTCAACTCAAAAAGGATCTGCTTCCCATGTCTAGTGGCTAAATTCAGTTCCTTAATGGTTGTTGGACTAAGGGTCTCAGTTCCTAGCTGGATTTTGGCTAAAGGCTTGTCACGTAGGCTTCTCCAGTGTAGCAGCCTGCTTCATCAAAGCATGCAAGCCTAAAAGTTAATAGGGAAGCCAAGAGTGGTGGCACATGCTTATGGTTCCAGCAGGTTGGGAGGCTGAAGCAGGAGGATTGTTTGCGCCTAGGAGTTCAAATTGAGCCTGAGCAACATAGCAAGACCCAGTCTCTAAAAATTAAAAATAAATAAATAAATAAAAGAAGGCAATAGGGGCCGGGCACCGTGGCTCATGCCTATAATCCCAACACTTCGGGGGGCTAAGGTGGGAAGATTGCTTGAGCCCAGAAGTCTGAGGCCATCTTAGGCAACATAGCGAGACTTCGTCTCTACAAAAAAAAATTTAAAATTAGCCAGGCATGCTGGTGCATGCCTGTAGTCCCAGCTACTTAGGAGGTCGAGGCAGGAGAATTGCTTGAGCCCAGGAGTTCGAGGCTGCAGTTAGCTGTGATCACACCACTGCACTCCAGCCTGCACAACAGAGCAAGACCCTGTCTCAAACAAACAAAAGGAGGCAATAGGAGATTCTACTAAGAAGAGAGAAATTACAACCTCATGTAACCTAATCAAGAAAGTGACATCAGTTTTGCCATGTTCTATTTGTTAGTAGCAAGTCACAGGATTTGCCCACAGGGGATTACACAAGGGCATGAATACCAAAAGATGTGAATCAATGGAGGCCATTCTAGAGTCTGCCTGCCACAGATACTTGGAGGATGCATATCAACCCCAGGTCTGCAGCAGAGGAAGTAGAGGTGCAGAGAGATAAAGACAGTTGTGATAATAATGACCACATTTGTCAAACCCTTGCTTCATCCCAGGCACTGGAATAAGCATTTTACACATATTATCTCTTTGACTTTTTTTTTTTTTTAAATGAGATGGAGTCTCACTCTGTTACCCAGGCTGGAGTGCAGTGGCACGATCTTGGTTCACTGCAACCTCCGCCTCCCAGGTTCAAGCCATCCTCCTGCCTCAGCCTCCGTAGTAGCTGGGACTACAGGCATGCACTGGGCTAATTTTTGTATTTTTAGTAGAGATGGGGTTTTGCCATGTTGGGCAGGCTGGTCTCAAACTCCTGACCTCAGGTGATCTGCCCGTCTTGATCTCTCAAAGTGCTGGGATTACAGGTGTGAGCCACTGAGCCAGGTGCTCTTTGACTTTTTGTAACAATGATAAGAGGTAGACGCTATTATGACCCCATTTTAAAGAGAGGTTTAAAGACTAGACCAGAGTCACAGAGCTGGTAAGTGGGTGGAGTGGGGATTTGAATTCAGCCCTGTTTAGCCCCAAGCTCCAAGAGATCTCAAGGGCCACAAGCTGCGTCAGAACAGTGAATGTTTCCCTTTGTTGCTGTTATTATTATTATTATTATTATTGAGATAGGGTCTCCCTCTGTCACCCAGGCTGGAGTGCAGTGGTGTGATCATGGCTCATTTCAGCCTCTGCCTCCTGGGCTCAAACAATTCTCTTGCCTCAGTCTCCTGAGTAGGGGTGACTATAGGCATGCACCACCATGCCTAGCTAATTTTTAATTTTTTTGTAGAGATGGTGTCTCACTATGTTGCCCAGGCTGGTCTTGAACTCTTGGGCTCAAACGATCCTCCCACCTCAGCCTCCCAAAGTGCTGGGATTACAGGTATGAGCCACCATGCCAGCCTGTTGCTGTCATTTTTAGGAAAACTGATCTTCTACTGACATGGAAGGGACAGAAAAAGGTGCCAGAAACTGTGTGTTTTTGTTTTATTTTGTTTTTTCTTCTCTGTCATCCACACACACTGGGCACAAGGAAAATGCAATCTGTATCTTGGTGATTAGTTGGGAGAAAATCACATACAGCAGCCTTTGGTCCAGGAAAAACTTAAAATAGTAGATCTGGAGAAAATATATGCACTGGTTCCATCTTTCCCTATGGGTACAAAGATGTTCATATCACTAAGGTTTTGGAACTAAATAACATGACTGTAAGAAGACAAAACATCCAATAAGTCACCTAACTTCTCCAAACATATCTGTTTTCTCATCTGTTAAACAAGGTAGTTAATATCCACCTCATCATCATTAGAAGGCTTAAGGCTGGGTGTGGTGACTCATGCCTGTAATCCCAGCACTTTGAGAGGCTGAGGTGGGAGGATTGCTTGAGGCCAAGAGTTCGAGACCAACCCAGGCAACATAATGAGACTTAGTCTCTCAAAAAATAAAAATAAAAAAACTAGCTGGGTGTGGTGGCACACACCTGTAGTCCCAGCTACTCTGGAGGCTGAGGTGGGAGGATAGTTTGAGCCTGGGAGATGGAGTCTGCAGTAAGCTGTGGTTGTGCCACGGCACTTCAGTCTCAAAACAAAACAAAACAAAACAGAAGGCTTAAATGAGATAATATAGACAATGCCAAGAACACAGTAGGTGCTCAAAAAATGTTAGTGAAAAGGAAGGAAGAAAGGAGACTCCCTATCAGCTGGAGCGTTAACTTTTACATTTCTTTCATCTTTCTCCCTTGCCTAAAGAGCTTAATGAGGAATGTTGGTTTACAAAGGACACATTCTTGTCTGAGCTAATATGTGTCCAACTGAAATTAAATTTAAAAGCTGGTTTAACAGGAGAGGACTCAAATCATGCATAAGTCATTTGCAAACATGCAAATACAGAGTAATTTCTTGGCCTGGCTTCTCCTCTAGATTAAAAGAAAAACAACTAATTTAAGAACAATAGTTTGGGTTGGCAAAAGAGAGGAGTGTCCATGGTTCTTAAAACCAACAAAGTGTAGGGGTAACTAGGGAGAAAACTGTCAATATTCGGTGCCACGAAATAGACATTGAAATATCTAGGTCTGAGTCTTGCCTGGCCCAGACACTCTGAGTCACCTCAGATGAATCAGTGTTCCCTTCTTTTGCACATCAGTCCTCCAGCAAGCATGTGTTTGCAGAGCACTCATTGTTGAGATTAGCTGTTGTTTGGCATCCAGTGTTTATTTCCTCTGTTTTCCTACCAATAGCAACTTGATCACTCCTTAGGGAACTGTCACTCCCATTTCAATATGTGTGGAGTGGGGTTGACCCCTTACCCAGAGTTTAAGTGTCCAAAATTGTATTAGTCATCTGGGGCTATGCAAGAAATCATCCCACAATACAGTAGTTTAAAACAGTAATAGGCCAGGCACTGTGGCTCACGCTTGTAATCCCAGCACTTTGGGAGGCTGAGGCAGGCAGATCACGAGGTCAGGAGATCCAGACCATCCTGGCTAACATGGTGAAACACCGTCTCTACTAAAAATCCAAAGAATTAGCCGGGCATGGTGGCGTATGCCTATAGTCCCAGCTACTTGGGAGGCTGAGGCAGGAGAATTGCTTGAACCCAGGAGGCAGAGGTTGCAGTGAGCCAAGACCACACCACTGCACTTCAGCCTGGGCAACAGAGCAAGACTCCATCTAAACAAAACAAAACAGTAATCATAGTTTTTTAGGCCAGGTGCAGTGTCTCACACTTGTAATCCCAGCACTTTGAGAGCCAATGTGGGAGGATAACTTGGGCCCAGGAGTTCAAGACTAGCCCAGGCAACATAGCGAAACCCCACCTCAATTTTTAAAAATAGTTTATTATCCCATATGTTGTCTGTGGGTTGGGAGTTCCAAAGTGGCTTGGCTGGGTGGTTCTGGCTTAGGGTCTCTCAGGAAGATGCAATCAGATGTCAGCTAGGACTGAAGGCTTGATTAGAGTTGAAGGATCCACTTCCATGGTAGATCATTTACTCACATGACTGCCAGGCTGGTACTGGCTATTGGCAAGGGGCCTCAGTTCCTCTCTATGGGGCTAGTTGAGTGTCCCCACCACATGTCCCCTGGCATCTCTCAAAGGGAACAATCTAAGAGATCAAAGCAGAAGCACCAATGTCTTTGTGACCTAGCTTTGGAAGTCACAAATTATCACTTCAGCCGCATTTCTACTGGTCGCATAGGCCAGTCTTGACTCAGTGTGGGAGGGGGTCTTACTATCCAAGGGCATGGATATCAGAAGGCAGGATCACTGGGGGCCATCTTGGAAGCTGCCACATCAATCTAATATGAGCCTGGCATATTCTAAACCTTCAGCCACAGTGATTGGCTCAAGAGTGGATACGTGATGTTCAAATCTTTTGTTTGTTTGTTTGTTTGTTTGTTTTTAAGAGACAGGATCTATATGGCCCAGGCCAGTCTCGAACTTCTGGTCTCAAGTGACCCTCCCACCTCAGCCTCCCAAAGTGCTAGGATTATAGACATAAGCCATTCCGTCCAGTCTGCCAAATCTATCCAGTGATACCCAATTCTGGTATCTTTATTTGAAATCAAAAGGAAAGAGAAGCTCTCTTTCTGATGAGATTGTTAGCAGTAAGAATGAACTAAGCTTTTACTGGCTGGAGGCCACCACCTAGAACCTGAGAATGAAGCTAGCTCAAAGAACAGGAGAGCCAAGAAAAGGAATGACAAGCAGAGAGAGAATGAAAGAGACAGATGACATGATTTGAACTCTGGATCTAGGCAAATCTGAATTCAGGTACCCTGAGGCTTTTCTCATGCCTGTTTCGCTTAAGCCATTTGAGTTGGGCTTCTGTCCTACTACAACTTTTAGATGCTCAGTCCTCCTCATGTTTAGTTGACCAGCCTTTTCTAAAGATTATGACTGGTACCCACTAGGGCAAGAGGTGTGAAATTGCTAACTGTTCAAGCTCATGACCAGAAACAGTGGCTGGCATTTCAAGTTGCTAGATTAGGGACAAGGAGATATTAGCTTACGGATAGACCAGGTGTACCTTGGGTAGCCACCAATTGGTACTCTTTAACTAGACCAGTGGTGTTCTGGAGAGGTACATGGTAAAGAGGTAGCTGATGGATTGGCTGTAGAGTCTAATGATCTAGGTGTTAAGCCCATTTATATCCCTTAATTACTAGGCAAACTGGGACAAATTGCTTAGCTTATCTAAGCCTCTGTTTCCTTGGCTGTATAATAATACTTGTTCAACCTACTATAATCACTCAGCAACAAACATTCATTGAGCACCTACTATGTGCCAGTTATCATCAATAAAGCAATGATTCAGTTCCAGCCTTCAGGGTTTTCACAGTCTTGTCAGAAATATGAATGATACATAAATTATAGCATGGTTTAAGAAGTATTGTGATAGGCACATACATGATGTTTTGAGGTCATAAGTGAAAAAGCTTTTTTTTTTTTTGAGACAGAGTTTTGCTCTTGTCGCCCAGGCTGGAGTGTAATGGCGCAATTTCAGCTCACTGCAACCTCTGCGTCCCAGGTTCAAGCGATTCTCCTGCCTCAGCCTCCTGAAGTAGCTGGGATTACAGGTGCCCGCCACCATGCCCCGCAATTTTTTTTGTATTTTTAGTTGAGATGGGTTTTCACCATGTTGGCCAGGCTGGTCTTGAACTCCTGACCTCAGGTGATCCACCTGCCTCAGCCTCCCAAAGTGCTGGGATTACAGGCGTGAGCCACCGTGCCTGGCCAAAAGCTTTTTTTTTTTTTTTTTTTTGAGACAAGGTCTCAGTGGCACCATCATTGCTCACTGCAGCCTGGGACTCCTAGGCTCAAGTGATCCTTCCACCTCGGCCTCCCAACTAGTATTGCAGGTGTGAGCCACCACCCCCGGCCAGGAAAAGCATCTTATGTAGTAGGATATGCATGGACTTTCTGGAGAGGATGCTGTTTAATCTGAGTTTTCAGGAAATCTAGGAGCTGACAGGTTACTAGAACATAACAAGGAAAGGAGCAAAGACCCAGAGGTGTAAAAGAAGATAGACCATTCAGGTAATTGCAAGTAAACATGTATAGCTTGAATCTCAGAGTTTAAGGGCATTTTATGGAGAGACCAGATTATAGAGGGCTTTGTGGACCATGCTAAGGAGCTGATGGTGGGGAAGGTCCTGGAGTGTTTGAAGGGAGCTGAGGAATTTTTAGAAAGATAACTCTAGTATTCAATGGTAGGTAGTCTTGTGAAAAGAATAAAAGGAAAAAAGATAACTCTACTAGCCATGGCAGTGGACAGGATAGATGATAGCAAGAATGGAGCTAGGGCTGGTGCAGTGGCTCACATCTGTAATCTCAACAGTTTGGGAGGCCAAGATGGGAGAATCACTTGAGCCCAGGAGTTTGAGACCAGCCTAGGCAACATAGAGAGGCCCTGTCTCTTCAAAAAAAATACAAAAAGCCAGGTAGTGGCTCATGCCTCTAGTACCAGCTACTTGGGAAGCTGAGGCAGGAGGATCACTTGAGCCCAGGAGGTTGAGGCCGCAGTGAGCCATGATGATGCCACTGCACTCCAGCCTGGGTGACTGGCTGACAGAGCAAGACCCTGCCTTAAAAAAAAGAAAAAAGAATGGAGCTAGGCCTGTGTTGCAGTTATCTGTAGCTGCATGATAAACTATCCCCAAATTTAGTGGCTTACAAAGATGTATTATGTCTCATGATTCTGTGAATTGGCTGGGCTAAGCTGAGTGGTTCTTCTGCTCCACATAGTGTCAGCTGATGTTATCATTTGGTTACATTGAGTTAGGTGCTCATTTGAGGCTGGAACGTCCCAGACGGCATCATTCATATGTCTGGCATCTGAGCTGGGGTAGCTGGAATAGCTGGCAGCTGGGTGGGGCTCTCTTGCCACATGGTCTCTCTCATCATTCAGTAGTCTAGTCCAGTAGTTCTCAAGCAGGGGTGATTTTCTCCCACAGGGGACATATGGCAGTGTCTGGAGACATTTCTGGTTGTCACTACTGGAGGAACTAGGAATTAGAGGCCAGGGATGCTGCAAAACATCCTACAATGCACAGAACAGCCTCACCACAAAGAACTATCTGACCCAAAGTATTAATAATGATCAGCTTGAGAAACATTGGTATAGCCGGAGCTTCTATGTGGTGGTTTAGACCCCAAGAGGGTAAAAATGGAAAAATGGAAAACATATTTCTTTTTTTTTTTTTTTTTGAGACTGGGTCTCACTCTGTTACCCAGGCTGGAGTGCAGTGGCATGATCTCAACTCACTGCAGCCTCCACCTCCTGGGTTCAAGCGATTCTCCTGCCTCAGCCTCCAGAGTAGCTAGAATTATAGGCACTTGTCACCACGCCTAGCTAATTTTTGTATATTAGTAGAGACGGGGTTGTACCATGTTGGCCAGGCCTCAGCCTCCCAAAGTGTTGAGATTACAGGTGTGAGTCACTGTGCCTGGCCTGATTTTTGTTTTTTTGAGACAGGGTCTCACTTTGTCACCCAGGCTGGAGTACAGTGGTGTGAACACGACTCACTGCAGCCTCGACCTCCTGGGCTCAAGCAATTCTCCTGCCTCAGCCCCACCAAGTAGCTGGGACCACAGGCGCATGTCACCATGCCCGACTAATTTTTGTATTTTTTGTAAATATGGGGTTCCGCCATGTTGCCCATGCTGGTCTCGAACTCTGGGGCTCAAGTGATCTACCTGCCCTGGCTAACCAAATTGCTGGGATTACAGGCAGTAGCCACTGTGCCTAGTCAAGACGCTGCCATATTTATTTTCTTTTCTTTCTTTCTTTTTTTTTTTTTTGAGATGGAGTTTCTCTCTTGCTGCCCAGGCTGGAGTACAATGGCCTGATCTTGGCTCACCACAACCTCCACCTCCCATGTTCAAGCGATTCGCCTGCCTCAGCCTCCTGAGTAGCTGGGATTACAGGTATGCACCCCCATGCCTGGCTAATTTTGTATTTTTAGTAGAGATGGGGTTTCTCCATGTTGGTCAGGCTGGTCTCAAACTCCCAACCTCAGGTGATCCACCTGCCTTGGCCTCCCAAAGTGGTGGGATTATAGGCGTGAGCCGCAGTGCCTGGCCGAAGCTGCCATATTTCTTTTTATGTATGTGTGTGTGTATTTATCTTTGTAAGACCTCTCAGGGATGAATGAAGTTGCCATATTTCTTAAGCCCTAGGCTCTGGAACGCCACACTATTACTTTGTCCACATTCTATTGGTCAAAGCAAGTTACAAGGCCAGCTCTGATTCAAGTGGAGAGGAATTAGTTCTTCTCCCCATCCATGGGCAACTACTAGTCTATTTTCTGTCTTATAGATCTTTGGTGACCATTTTAACAGGAAATCCACCACAGACAGCGAGACAATTTAATGAAAAAGATTCATGTGAGAAGTGATAGTGGTGTGAGCTCAAACATTGGCAAAGTGTCCTCATGAGAAAATGAAATAATGGCAGTTGAAATCTCTCTGCAAAGTGTTACATAAATATATTAATTTCATAATCCACACTGTCCTCAGCCAGGAACTGCTGTCCCCAGCAGCTTTCTGTTAAGCCAGGCTTTCTTTCAACAGGCCTCCGTTCTGTGTCTGTCCAATCCCCCTGGCCTCTGTTGAGTTCATCAAAGCTTCTGCTGACTCCAGAAGAATCTAGAGAATGATCACTGCAGTGAAAAGTCTCAAATCATCCCCGAGGGCCCCTAATAACAAAACATCTGCTTGTCATTGTCTCCTACCCCTTTTGGTTTTAGAGAGAAAACAGCGTTAAGTGACGATAATGGTAAACAACTTAAAAACCAGGTCTCCTGGCTTCCAGGAAAAGAGCTTTAATTTGAAGGCAGCTAATTATCCATTCATTATAATTTACAAATAGTAGTTGTCTTGCCTCCTGTCACTGGTCTGTGAACAACAGTCAGAAAGATGAAAAAAAAAGTCAGAGTTAACACATTTTAGAAATCAGAGGGCAGAGAACCCCCAAATTGAAGAAAACTCTTACAGAACATGTAATTCAAACCTCTCATTGTATGGATAAGGAAACTGAGGCCCAAAGAGGGAATGGGGCCTTTTTAGAGTCACCCAGCAGTCGGGGGGATGGCAGAATGGGCACTGGAACCAAAGCTTTCATGCTGGCTCTAGCCTAAAGCCCCACCCAGGGAGATGAAAGGGTGGTTCTGTCTGCCTCCATGCAGCCTGGAGACTCTGCACTCAGACCACCCATCAAAGTGGCAGTTGGCATGTTCAGGTCTCTCTATAATCATCAGGGTGGGACAATAAAGCCACAGAACCAGGAGGTAGAAACAATTCCTCAAGGGCTGGGACATGGTTTAAATTCAGAGGGGGTTGGGTCAGCGAACATTTTGCTTCACGTCAAGATTTAACATTTTTTATTTGGTAGCATCTTGAACTTTTTTTTTTTTTTGAAACAGGGTCTTGCTCTGCTGCCCAGGCTAAAGTGCAGTGTCAGTGATCACAGCTCACTGAAGCCTTGACCTCCTGGCTCAAGTGATCCTCCTGCTTCAGGCTCCTGAATGGCTGGAATTACAGGCACAAGCCACTGTGCCCAGCTATGTAAAAAAATTTTTTTCTTAGAGATGAGGTCTTGCTCTGTTGCCCAAGCTGGTTTCAAACTCCTGGACTCAAGCGATCCTCACAGCTCAGCCTCCCAAAGTGTTAGGATTACAGGTGTGAGCCACCATGCCCAGCCACATCTTGTACTTTCCATGTAGGATCTGAAAGGGAGGAATTTCAAGATGTCTCTGGGCTACGCTGGTGATGGGAAATATTGACACTTAGTGGTTTTGGCCATTAAACCTGGGGTTTCAATCCAGTGGAATATCGCCAGCTCTTTAGCTTTCCTTGAGAGAGTTTGAAAATAAGTTACTGGAAGATTTGCCTTGACCATCAAGAAAAGAGGGGAACCCTACTTTCTCTTCTTGCTGGGTATCTACTCTCTGGGCTTGCACAGTCCCCAGAGATTTCAGTATGCAGCTGCTCTGACCTAATTCCTTGAGTACAATGGCCCCTTCACACCTCAGGGCACTAGCCCATGCTGCTTCCTCGGCCTGAAATAACCCCCTGCTCTCCTTGTCAAGGTAAAGCCTCCTCTTCATCTCATTTTTTCCCAGGTTATAATCACTTTCCTGATATACACATTCCTAGTTAGCTCCCTTCACTTCCCTTGTGTGTCACTGGTCACAGCTTATCTTCTTGTATTTATTGTGTGGTCAATCAGTGATTGACTCCTTCATTAGGCTATGTGTTCTGACAAATTAGAGACCTCATCTGTTTTGTTCACCAACCTTATCCCCAGTGCTTAGCTTGGTACCTGGCATCTTACAGTGTGCATTAAATATTTGCTGGCTGATGATTGAATCAAAGTGCTAGGATAATCTAGACCAACTCTTCCAATTCCAAGTAAAAAACCATGGTCCAGAGATGGGCAATGACTTGCCCAGGGTCACAAAGAAGGCATCTAATAGCTCCTTGCTGATTACTGACTTCCTTAAAATACCTTGGCCCTGAGACAGGGCCATTTTGAGGAGAGGCAAAACTGAGAGATTGAGTTGTTTTCCATGCTGTCTTAGTCCGTTTGTGCTGTTAAAACAGAACACTTGAGGCTGAGATATTTACAAAGAACATAAATTTATTTCTAATGGTTCAGGAGGCTGGGAAGTCCAAGATTAAAGCACTAGTAGGTTTGGTTGTCTGGTGAGGCCTTGCTCTCTGCTTCCAAGATGGCGCCATGTTGCTGTATCCTTCAGAGAGAAGGAACAGTGCATCCTTGCATGGCAGAAGGAAGAAGGGCAGGAGGGTTGAACTCCCTCCATCAAATTCTTTTATGAGGCTGGGCCCGGTGGCTCACGCCTGTAATCCCAGCACTTTTGGAGGCCGAGGTGGGTGGATAACCTGAGGTTAGGAGTTCAAGACTAGCCTGGCCAAAATGGTGAAACTCCATCTCTACTAAAAATACAGAAAATTAGCTGGGTGTAGTGGCAGGTGCCTGTAATCCCAGCTCCTTGGGAGGCTGTAGCAGGAGAATTGCTTGAACTCGGGAGACGGAGATTGCAGTGAGCCAAGATTGTGACAACGCACTCCAGCCTGTGCAACAAGAGCAAAAAAAAAAAAAAAAAAAAAATCCTTTCATGAGGGCACCTAATCCTATTCATGAGGGCCGTGCCCTCATGACTCAATCACCTCGTAAAGGCTCCACCTTTTAATACTGTCACATTGGCAACACCTGAATTTTGAAGGGGACACATTCAAACCATAGCACACGTTCTGAACAACTGTAGTTCCTCTTCTTAACAGAAGGCTCCCCATGAGGCACAAATTCTAAACCCAAGTCCATGAAGGGGCTCCCAAGATCTGTGTCCCCCTTGAATTATACACAGTTGTGTTTGGGGAATATTTTTCAGTAGAGAGACTGAGAGGCTTCATCTGATTCTCAAAGAAACATCCTCAAAAGTCTAAGAGCAACTCACGCCAGCACCCTGCTGAACCTCTTCTTCCCTTCTAGCTAGAAAAGCCATCTTAAGGCCCAAGAATCTCTGGTGACAGAAACATGGCTTAGTGTGAGGCTGTGAGGCAGGCAGTGGTCAGGGCAATGGTCAGTGGCTAATACATGGAATCAGAGAGAAATATATTCTCAGCTTCAGTTGGTTAGGGACGTCAGGGAAAGCTTCCAGGAGCAGGTGCCAATCAAGCTGGGCTATAATGGACTGTGAAGGTTCAAGAGGCTAAAAGTGATGTGGGGAGGGAAACACAGTCCAGAATTCCCTTCAGGCAGCCCCAATGTCTTCACCAATGCCCATTCCCAAAAGGGGAGCTTGTTTAAATTGTCCAGTATTTGGTGTCATTTTCGTCCAGAGATCATCTTGGATGTAGAGTTTCTTTTTCCCTTTCCCTTTATTTTATTTTTTATTTTTTTGAGTTGGGTTCCCACTCTCACTCAAGCTGGAGTGTAGTGGTGTGACCATGGCTCACTGCAGCCTTGAACTCCTGGCCTCATGTGATCTTCTTGCCTCAGCCTGCCAAGTAGCTAAGACTACAGGCATCGACTAATTTTTTTTTTTTTTTTTTTTTTTTAGAGATGAGATCTTACTATGTTGCCCAGGCTGGTCTCAAACTCCTGGGCTCAAGTGATCCTCCTGCCTCGGCCTCTCAAAGTGCTGGAATTACATTATAGGTGTGAGTTGCTGCACCCAGCCCCGTCTCCCTTTATTTTTTATTATTTTATTTTCTTTTAATTTTTATTTTATATATATATATTTTTTTTTTTTTTTTGACAGAGTCTGACTCTGTCACCCAGGCTGGGGTGCAATGGCATGATCTCGGCTCACTGCAACCTCTGCCTCCTGGGTTCAAGTGATTCTCCTGCCTCAGCCTCCTGAGTAGCTGGGATTACAGGCATGAGTCACTGCACCCGGCTATTTGGCTATTTATTTGTTTTTAATGGAGATGAAACTTTGCCAAGTTGCCAAGGCTGGTCTCTAATTCCTGAGCTCAAGCAACCTGCCCACATGGGCCTCCAAAAGTGCTGGGATTACAGGTGTGAGCTACTGCGGCTGGCCCATTATTTCATTTTTTTGAGACAGATTCTTGCTGTGTTACCCAGGCTAGACTGCAGTGGCACAATCACAGCTAACTGCAGTCTCAGCCTTCCAGGCTGAAGTGATCCTTGATGCTCAGCCTCCCAAACAGCCGGGACTACAGGAGTGTGCCACCACACCTGGCTAATTTTTTATTTTTATTTTTATTTTTATTTTTTGAGATGGAGTCTCACTCTGTCACCCAGGCTGGAGTGCAATGGCACAATCTCGGCTCACCGCAACCTCCATCTCCTGGGTTCAACCTGCCTCAGCCTCCCAAGTAGCTGGGATTACAGGCATGCACCACCACACATGGCTAATTTTTACATTTTTTAGTAGAGATGGAGTTTTGACATCTTGGCCAGGCTGGTCTTGAACTCCTGACCTTAGGTGATCCACCTGCCTCAGCCTCCCAAAGTGCTGGAATTACAGGCATGAGCCACAGCACCCAGTCCCCTCTCCCTTTAGAAGAAAACATAGACTGATTTTGTGATGCCAACCACTGCCATTGGCCCTTTGTCCTTGCTGCTGAATTATTCATCCTGCACAATGAATTATTAATTTCCAATTTTGGAGAGCAAATGCCAGGCAAATAGGTAGAAATGGAAATGGAACTGGGACCCTGGGCATGGAGCCACAGACATCCCTAGGTCCTCCAAAGCACAGGCCACCACGGCCAATAAATTATACAGGAATCCACAAGGGGCTCACCCTGAAATGCACTTGACAGAGGGTGAAGTAGGTACAAGATTATGGTGGCCCTGAAGTGGCTGGGCTCCATTACCCCTGGGCTCTCAGACCTCTCGCTTTCCTGAGCCTTAGCTGTAGCCACCCTTTGGCTGACTCTGGCATAGGGATGTATTGCATATTTAGAGTGGGCTCAAGCAGCATTCTGTGGAGTGACTTGGGTTTGAATCTGAGCCTACCATCCAAGTGACCCTGGATTTAATCAAGCAGGGTTTCTCAATGTCAGCTCTACTGACATTTTGGCCTGGATAATTCCTTGTTGTGGGAGACTGTTCCATGCATTATAGGATATTGAGTACCATTTCTGGCTTCTACTCACCAGGTGCCAGTACCACAGCTCCCTCCTTCCCCTTCCCCACCCCCAAGTTACAACAACCAAAAATGTCTGTAGACATTATCCAGTGTCCCTAGTCTCCTGGGTTGGGGGGAGGGGCACAACATTTCTTCTGCTTGAGAACTACTGGGTAAGTGCCATCAATTTTTTAAATATTTTTTTTTCTCATCTACTGAAGGGGGATCTGAATAGTAGTCACCAGTATGAGAAGGCAATCAAATGAGATCATGGATGTAAAGCCTCAGCTTATTCGGAGTGTCTCTACCCTGGGACTTTTCTTCTATTTATTTATTTTTTGAGACAGAGTCTCCGACTGTTACCCAGGCTGGAGTGCAGTGGCACGATCTTGGCTCACTTCAGCCCCCACCTCCTGGATTCAAGCAATTCTCCTACCCCAGCCTCCCAAGTAGCTGGGATTACAGGCATGTGCCACCATGCCGGGCTAATTTTTGTATTCTTAGTAGAGACGGGCTTTCACCATGTTGGCCAGGCTGGTCTCCAACTCTTACCTCAGGTGATCCACCTGCCTCGGCCTCCCAAAGTGCTGGGATTACAGGCATGAGCCACCGCATCCAGCCTGGGACCTTTCTATTACATGAACTAATGGTTCTCTTTTAGGTTTAAGTTCAGGCTTGGTTAGGTTTGCATTCAGCTTGCAGGTAGCAAAATATCCACCATAAATGGACTTAAACAGTGAAGGGGAACGATTGATTCACATAACTGGAGATCCAGAAGTAAGTCGAGCTTCGAGTTTGGCTGATGCAACAACTCACCTGTGTCCTCAGGCACTGGTTTTGTCTTTGTGCTCTGCCATATATAGTGAGGTGTTCTACTGAGACTGGTTCACCTTGGGGTCTTAAGATGCCCTCCAGCAGCAGCTGGCACCATGGGTTTCCTTCTTCCCATGAGCACAGAAAGAACACACGTGTTCCAGCATTCCAAGGCAGTCTTGAGAGTCAGGCTGGCTGGGCCACTTTGGTCACATGCTCACTCCAAAATTAGTGTCTTCATTCAGTGGAATGGATGTACTTAAACTGGTTAGTTTAAGCCTCTCAGGTCCTACCCATGGGATGGAATCGCATTCCCAAAATACATGGCTGTGTGAGTACTGAAATGAAGATCTAAGCACCTATGATCTAGGGACTGGTCCTGAACTCATCATTGTAGCTGGCAGGGAGGAACAGGCTGTGTTGATCGGCTGGACCTGGGACTTGAGCAACCCTTGGAGTTGGTGTCTTGGGAACGAGGAGAGGTTAGCCTCACCCAATCACAGGAACTGGAAGTGAGAGAGTGGTTTCCCAATCCCAAAATAGAGATGCTGTTCCCAGAAATGGAGGGAGGGATGCTGAACACATGTCTTAGTCCATTTTGTGTTGCTATAACAGAATACTGAGACTGATTTTGTTTGTTTGTTTTTTGTATTGTTTTCTGAGGTAGACTCTCGCTCTGTCACCAGGCTAGAGTGCAGTGGCGCAGTCGCAGCTCACTGCAACCTCTGCCTCCCAGGTTCAAGTGATTCTTCTGCCTCAGCCTCCCAAGTAGCTGGGACTACAAGTGCGCACCACAGCGCCCAGCTAATTTTTGTATTTTTAGTAGAGACAAGGTTTCACCATGTTGGCCAGGATGGTCTCGATCTCTTGACCTCATGATCTGCCCGCCTCGGTCTCCCAAAGTGCTGGGATTACAGGCGTGATCCACTGCACCAAGACAATTTTTTTTCTTTTTTTTTTTTTAAGACTGAGTTGCTCTGTTGCCCAGGCTGGAGTGGAGTCATGTGATCTTGGCTCACTGCAATCTCCGCCTCCCGGGTTCAAGTGATTCTCCTGCCTCAGCCTCCTGAGTAGCCGGGACTATAGGCATGTGCCACCACACTCGGCTAATTTTTGTATTTTTAGTAGAGACAGGGTTTCGCCATGTTGGCCAGGCTGGTCTTGAACTCCTGACCTCAGGTGATCTGCCTGCCTCAGCCTCCCAAAGTGCTGGGATTATAGGCGTGAGCCATCCTGCCCGGACTCAGACTCTACTTTTAGGGGAATCTAGGATAAGTCAAAGATTTTACCTGGTCTGAGATTTAGATTTGTCTATACACTTTTTAGACATGTGAGAAATAAGTATGTTTTGTGTTTTTAAATTGGCCTCCTGCCTGCTGATCAGGGGCTGTGCTCAGAGGATGCTGCACTAAGGGACTGAAAGTCAAGCTTCTGAATTTCCAGCGAGGTCCAGACCTTTCCTGGCAGGAGGCAGCAGCCCGCCAGCTGCTGTGCCTGGGGTGGGCAGGAGGGTGGCAGAAGCGTCCCAACATGAACCGTTGCCCAGAGAAGCTGTCAGGGGCTGACTGCAGGACTTGAGAACTTTATCAACATGTCACCAGCCAAAGAGAGAAGGCGGCTATGCCTCTAGCTGAGCTCCTGTGGTTCTGACCAATGTATCAGGCTACTACTGGTGTGTTCTCAACGCCACTCGGTCATCGAGTGTTTCATTGGGGTGGCTTGCCAGTGACAAGGCACAAAGCAGCTTTTGCAGAGATAGTAAGAGGAAGCTGGAGAATGGGCTGTCTCCTTGTCTCTAGTGGCCTTGCTGTTTCCCTACTGACTATAGACAGACATGTCATAATACGTCTCTGCTCCCCTGGGCTCTGTGCCCTCTGCCAATGCCCACTGATAATCCCTGACGCTGTTTGGATGAGTGCCTCATTTTCTCATCCCTCTGGCCCCTGCCCAGCCACCTACTGTGTCCTCCTCCTAATAGGGCCCTTGGCCACTTCCCCGGGCTGAAAGCTTGCTCCTTGTGGATTGCCAATGAGACCCGCAGGCCCAATACTTTTTGCCTTTGACAATCCTTTAGCTCCGTAACAGAAAATCAGCAGTGCCAGCAGGGCATGAAAACAGCCCAGTTTATACATATTTGTCAATATCTCAGTTTATGGTTAGGCATATCTGGGCAATTTGGAACAAAATAGAATGGTTACTGACGAGCCCCAGATTGATATTTTGTAATGGTTCTCCATGGCAGTTCAAGGAACTGTGTGGGGCATTTAAACCTCTTCAACTGTATCTTATCTTGTCCCATAAACACCCACCGTTGAGTCAACTGTGACTCCATGACCATCTCACCCCTCTAGCTCCCATGCCTGTATCCCAGCTGGTCCCACTGCAGGAGATGTTCTTCCTACTCCTGTTCCCCTTGTACCTGGTATACTTAGAATCATCTTTCAGGTCTCAGCTGAGTGCCATGTCCTCTAGGAAGCCCTTCTGACTTTCTCAAACTGAGTAAGGTTCCTCCTGTAAGTTCCCAAGTTGCCTAAAATAAACCTTAGCACATTGCCTTGTACTCGTCTATTGATGTGTTTGTCCCTCGCAGCAGGTGATAAATTCCTAGACATTCAAGTACTATGTCTAGTTCACCAATCATGTCCTCAGGGCCAAGGCTTGTGTCTGGCACAGAGAAGGTGCTCAGTATTTGTTGAATAAATATTAGCTGGCTTCAAAGTGTCTAATAATTTGAATTGAGGGTACATTGGGAGTTAATGAAATCTCAGGTTTTATATTATATATAAAAGTGAAAGCCACGTCTATAATTCCAGCTGCTTGGTAGACCAAGATGGGAGGACATCTTGAGGCCAGGAGTTTGAGGCTGCAGTGTACTATGATCACACCTGTGAACAGCAATTGCACTCCAGCCTGGGCAACATAGTGAGACCCCATCTCTAAAAAAATAAAAAATGGAAAAATAATTAGTTCATGTGTTACGGTATGTTAATATGGTATGTTAATATTATTATGTTAATACATCAAATATATACTTACATACACAAATATTTTAGACTCACATAACCACAAATTTAAAAAGACTGTATTATTAAAAATGGAAAGAAAATAAATATGCAACAATCTAACAATATAAGCATTGTTTATTTTCCTCCAGCCATATATTTTCCCAAGTGGCAGCATATGTTCTTTCTACCCTCTTACTTTTTTTTTTTGAGACAGTCTCGCTCTGTTGCCCAAGCTGGAGTGCAGTGGCGCGATCTCAGCTCACTGCAACCTCCGCCTCCTGGGTTCAAGTGATTCTCCTGCCTCAGCCTCCCGAGTAGCTGGGACTACAGGCGCACGCCACCACGCCCAGCTAATATTTTTATTTTTATTTTTATTTTTATTTTTATTTTTTTTCCCCAAGGCAGAAGAATTTTTCTTAGTACAGAACAAAATGAAAAGTCTCCCATGTCTACTTCTTTCTACACAGACACGGCAACCATCCGATTTCTCAATCTTTTCCCCACCTTTCCCCCCTTTCTATTCCACAAAACCGCCATTGTCATCATGGCCCGTTCTCAATGAGCTGTTGGGTACACCTCCCAGACGGGGTGGTGGCCGGGCAGAGGGGCTCCTCACTTCCCAGTAGGGGCGGCCGGGCAGAGGCGCCCCTCATCTCCCGGACAGGGCGGCTGGCCGGGCGGGGGGCTGACTCCCCCACCTCCCTCCCGGACGGGGCGGCTGGCCGGGCGGGGGGCTGACTTCCCCACCTCCCTCCCGGACGGGGCGGCTGGCCGGGCGGGGGGCTGACTCCCCCACCTCCCTCCCGGACGGGGTGGCTGGCCGGGCAGAGGGGCTCCTCACTTCCCAGTAGGGGCGGCCGGGCAGAGGCGCCCCTCACCTCCCGGAAGGGGTGGCTGGCCGGGTCGGGGGCTGACCCCCCACCTCCCTCCCGGACGGGGCGGCTGGCCTGGCGGGGGCTGACCCCCACCTCCCTTCCGGATGGGGTGGCTGCCGGGCGGAGACGCTCCTCACTTCCCAGACGGGATGGCAGCCGGGCGGAGGGGCTCCTCACTTCTCAGATGGGGCGGTTGCCAGGCGGAGGGTCTCCTCACTTCTCAGACGGGGCGGCCGGGCAGAGACGCTCCTCACCTCCCAGACGGGGCGGTGGGGCAGAGGCGCTCCCCACATCTCAGACGATGGGCGGCCGGGCAGAGACGCTCCTCACTTCCTAGATGGGATGGTGGCCGGGAAGAGGCGCTCCTCACTTCCTAGGTGGGATGGCGGCCGGGCAGAGACGCTCCTCACTTTCCAGACTGGGCAGCCAGGCAGAGGGGCTCCTCACATCCCAGACGATGGGCGGCCAGGCAGAGACGCTCCTCACTTCCCAGACGGGGTAGCGGCCGGGCAGAGGCTGCAATCTCGGCACTTTGGGGAGCCAAGGCAGGCGGCTGGGAGGTGGAGGTTGTAGCCAAGATCACGCCACTGCACTCCAGCCTGGGCACCATTGAGCACTGAGTGAACGAGACTCCGTCTGCAATCCCGGCACCTCGGGAGGCCGAGGCTGGCGGATCACTCGCGGTTAGGAGCTGGAGACCAGCCCGGCCAACACAGCGAAACCCCCTCTCCACCAAAAAAATACGAAAACCCGTCAGGCGTGGCGGCGCGCGCCTGCAATTGCAGGCACTCGGCAGGCTGAGGCAGGAGAATCAGGCAGGGAGGTTGCAGTGAGCCGAGATGGCAGCAGCACAGTCCAGCTTCGGCTCGGCATGAGAGGGAGACCGTGGAAAGAGAGGGAGAGGGAGAGGGAGAGGGAGAGGGAGACCATGGAAAGAGAGGGAGAGGGAGGGAGAGGGAGAGGGAGAGGGAGAAGGCTCGGCATGAGAGGGAGACCGTGGAAAGAGAGGGAGAGGGAGAGGGAGACCGTGGAAAGAGAGGGAGAGGGAGGGAGAGGGAGAGGGAGAGGGAGAGGGAGAGTTTTTTTTATTTTTAGTAGAGACGGGGTTTCACCATGTTGGCTAGGATGGTCTCAATCTCTTGACCTCGTGATCCGCCCACCTCAGCTTCCCAAAGTGTTGGGATTACAGGCATGAGCCAACGTGCCCGGCCTAAAAAATATTTTAATTAGCTAGACAAAGTGGCACATGCCTGTAGTCCCAGCTACCCAGGAGGCTGAGGCAGGAGGATCACCTGAACCCAGAAGTTTGAGGTTGCAATGAGCTATGATTGAGTCATTGCACTCCAGCCTGGGCGATAGAGCGATAAAAAGATATATATGCATATATATACATATACACACACACACAGACACAGATATATATATATATCAAAAATAAAAGAGAATATACTGTACGGTTCCATTTATATAAAGTTCAAAATAAGACAAACTAATCTACAGCAATAAAAGAATAGTGGGCCAGGCGAGGTGGCTCATGCCTATAATCCCAGCACTTTGGGAGGCCGAGGCAGGCAGATAGCTTGAGTCTGAGAGTTCGAGGCCAGCCTAGGCGACATGATGAGACCCCCCCATCTCTATAAAAAGTACAAAAAAATTAGCTGGGCATGGTGGCACATGCCTGTAGTCCCAGCTACTTGGGAGGCTGAGGTGGGAGGTTCACTTAAACCCAGGAGGTCAAGGCTGCAGTGAGCTGTGATCACACCACTGCACTTCAGTCTGGGTGACAGAGTGAGACCCTGTCTCAAAAAAAAAAAAGTGGTTATGTGGGAAGGCAGTTATTGATTATAGGGAACACGAGGGAGTTGGTAACATTGGGGGCTGATAACATTCTATATCTTGATAGAGATGTTGGTTACATGAGTGTTTACATATATAAAACTATGTCAGGCTGTACACTTAAGATTTGTGTACTTTATGTGTAAAATAAAATTGTAAACATATATTATGCTTCCTAAACTAGTGTAATCTGAGTAAGTCTGTAGTCTTGTTAATTGCCAATTAATTTCCTGACTTTGGTAATGCACTATAGTTACGTAAGATGTTACCATTGGGGGAAGTTGGATGATAGGTACACAGAACTTCTCTGTACTATTTTGCAACTTCTCGTGAGTCTACAGTTTTTTCAAAATATGAAGTTAAAAAAATCTTATCCTTCCTATTCTTCATTTAAAAATCAGACAGTTTAAACATGCTATTCTTTCCATCATAAAATCCTTCTTGCCTTCAACCAAATTTATGGATCTAATTCATTTATTTTCTTTTCTAAGTGATTTCAGGCTCACCTTTCCCTCCCTCCCTTCCTCCCTCTTTTCCTTCCTTCCTTCCTTCCTCCCTCCCTCCCTCCCTTCCTCCCATCCAGCCTTTCCTTCTTTCATCCATTCATTCTATTTGCCTGTCATCCATCCATCTATTATTAAATCCTTCCTTCTTTCCCCTCCCTTTCTTCCTTCCTTCTTTCCTTTTCTCCCTCCTTCCTTTCCTTCAGTATCATTGAATCTGGTCTGTTTCTCCTTTCTGCCCCCTCTAGATCACCCCACCTCAGTGAATACCTGCTCTGAGAGGGCATCTCCACTTTTCTACCCATAGACTCTTACTGCCCCATGCCTTGGTGAATCTAAGAGCTAGGAAGCCTAGAAGTCTTAATTCCACTATCCTGCCTGCTCTAAACCCTGCTGACCTATGGGCAGGCCTCTAATTTCATTTCCTTTCCTTCCTTCCTTCCTTCTTTTTTTTTTGAGACAGAGTCTCACTCTGTCCCCCAGGCTGGAGTGCGGTGGCACGATCTCTGCTCACTGCAGCCTCCGCCTCCCAGGTTCTAGCGATTCTCCTGCCTCAGCCTCCTGGGTAGCTGGGATTACAGGCGCCTACCACTATGCCCAGCTAATTTTTGTATTTTTAGTAGAGACGGAGTTTCACCATGTTAGCCAGGCTGGTCTTTAACTCCTGACCTCAGGTGATCCACCCACCTCAGCTTCCCAAAGTGCTGGGATTACAGATGTGAGCCACTGCGCCTGGCATAATTTCTAAGTCTGGGTTTACCTGTTTGGAAAATGGGTTGAATAATAGATGCCTCCTTCACAAGGGTGTTGAACTTTAATTACTGTTTGCAGTGTTGCTTAAGGGAGGAGATGAAAGGCATTTTTAAAGTTCATGTTACTGGCATTAGTAGTAAAGCTGAGGAATTTGTTTGTGAGTTTGTAAAGTTGTCATAACTGGGAAAAGGGTGAAAAAAAGGTTGGTTTTATGTGGAAAAACCTTACCCAAAAAATAGCCACAGATTCTGGTTAGTACAAATAGCAAGAACACGTTGTACCTCAAAGTACTTTGCAAATTTCACATTCTTCCATGCCCCTGGAAAGATAGAACCCACAATTCCAAAACTGAAAATAAGGAGTTTACCTGGGGTAAGGCAGGAAATTCAAGAGCTGAGTTTTGGCTGAGACCATTCTGAGTTCTCTTCACAATTTACAAGAAAAATGCAGTTAAAGCACAGAGTTCTTTATTTTTACCATAAATACTTTTCTTTTTCTTTTTGCATTCTGATCACATTTCTATCAATATTACAGTTAACAAAAACTTTTAGAAATCTACCATTTTGGGAGAGCACTTTATAAAGGAGAGGTTAGGATAAAATAAAAGGCCAAAACTCAGCTCAAGCCTTCAAAGCATTTACCATCAAACCAGAAGATAAATAGGAGTGAGTGGCCTATATTTAGAATTTACTTCACAGTGCCCTGTTATTAATAATAACTGCCCCCTTTGGAGTGTCCAAAGCCCTTTAAAATACATTACTTCATTTGATCCACCAACAGGGCTGGAATTACAAGCTCTGGTTTAAAGATGAGAGACTTAAGCTCCCACAGAAGTGACTTTTCTAAGGCTACAAAGCCGCCAAGTGATGGCACTGGGACTTAAACTTAGTCTTGGTAATTGGAATGGTCTAGAGGAATCTAGTGGAATGGTGTAGTGTTCTTTCCACCGTACTGCTATCCTAGTAGAACTCAAAGGAGAGCCCTGGTGTTTTGTCCTAGGTTCAAAGCTAGTCTGTGCCAAAGATCAATGCCATGTGGCATCTAATCAGAGAGGAGGTATAGTGTAGAGGGTAAGGGTGTGGGCTTAGACTCAGAGACTCTGGTTTTTTTCCTGGCTTTTAATGGCTATAAAGATTGGAGCATATGACTTGACTTTGCTGAGCTTGTTTCCTCATCTGTTAAGTGGGTATATAATAACAATGCTTCCAACTTTACTAGGTTCTATTAAAAGAGATAATCTATGAAGGGCACTTAGCACTGTGCCTGGCAGACATAGGCTTTGCCAAAAGCTATGAGGTGATCTTGACGAATGGCCAGTGCACCTTAATCCCTGAAATGAACCATCTTGGGCCAAAAACTCAAAAGAATTAAAACCTAAACCAAACCAAACCAAAACAAAACCTTTTTATTTTATTTTTTATTTTATTATTTTTTTTGAGACAGAGTCTCACTCTGTCACCCAGGCTGGAGTGCAGTGGAGCCATCTTGGCTCACTGCAACCTCTGCCTCCTGGGTTCAAGCGATTCTCCTGCCTCAGCCTCCCGCATAGCTAGGACTACAGGCGTGTGCCACCATGCCCAGCTAATTTTTTGAATTTTTAATAGAGACGGTTTCATCATGTTAGCCAGGATAGCCTCGATCTCCTGACCTTGTGATCTGCCCACCTCGGCTTCCCAAAGTGCTGGGATTACAGGCGTGAGCCACCGCGCCCAGCCTATTTTATTTTATTTTATTTATTATTGCTATTATTATTTTGAGACAGAGTCTCACTCTGTAGCCCAGGCTGGAGTGCTCACTGCAACCTCTGCTTCCTGGGTTCAAGCGATTCTTGTGCCTAGTCACCTGAGTAGCTGGGATTACAAGTGTGCACCATCACACCAGCTAATTTGTTTGTATTTTTAGTAGAGATGGGGTTTCGCCATGTTGGTCAGGCTGGCTTCAAACTGCTGGCCTCAAGTGATCTACCCACCTCGGCCTACCAAAGTGCTGGGATTACAGCCGTGAACCACTGTGCCCAGCCACAACCCTTTTATTTTGAGATAATTGTAGATCTGTGTGCAGTTGTAAGAAAGCATATGGAGAGATCCCCTAGGTCCCTATGTCTTTTGCCCATTTTCCCCTAATGGTAACATCTTCTATAACTATAGTACAATATCACAATCAGGAAATTGACATTGATACAATCCATCAACTTTATTTGGATTTCCCTAGTTTTATATTCATTCGTGTGTGTGTGTGTGTTTGTGTATGTGTGTGTTTGCATGTATACCTAGTTCTGTAGTATAATTTTATCATGGGTAAATTTGTTTGACTACCATCCACAGTTTCATCACAAGGATACTTTGTGTAACCCTTTTATAGCCATAGCCTTCTGCCTTCCTCCCTGCCTTGCTAACTCCTGGCAACCACTAATCTATTCTCCATCTCTATAATTTTGTCATTTCAAGAATGTTATATAAATAGAATTACATAATATGTAGCCTTTCTTTTTTTTTAATTTTATAAGTAGAGATGGGGTCTCACTTTGTTGCCCAGGCTCATTTTGAACTCCTGGGCTCCAGTGATCCTCCCACCTCAGCCTCTCAAAGTGCTGACATTATAGACTTCAGCCTATGAACCAAAAGGCCATGCTCAGCCTTTTTTTTTTTTTCTTGAGACAGTGTTTCACTCTGTCAACCAGGCTGAAGTTCAGTCGTGTGATCACGGCTCACTGCAGCCTCGACCTCCCTAGGCTCAGGTGATCCTCTCATCTCAGCTTTCTAAGTAGTTGGCACTAGAGGTGCACACCACCAATACTTTTTGAAGTTTTTTGTAGAGACAGGGTTTCACTATGTTGCCCAGGCTGGTCTCAAACTCCTGGGCTCAAGTGATCTGCCCACCTTGGCCTCCCAAAGTGCTGGGACTACAGGCATGAGCCACCGGGCCCTGCCTATGTAGCCCTTTGAGATCGACTTTTTTTTTTTTTTCACTCAACATAATTTCCTTGAGATCCAACAAAGTTGTTGCAGGTATCAATAGCACCTTCCTTTTTATTGCTGAGTAGTAGTCCATGATACGATGTACCACAGTTTGTTTTACATTCACCCATTGAAGGTCATTTGGTTGGTTTCCAATTTGGGACTATTATGAATAAAGCTGCTATGGATAATCATGTACAGATTTTTTTTTTTTTTTTTAGACTGAGTCTCACTCTGTCACCCAGGCTAGAGTACAGTGGTGCAATCTCGGCTCATGGCAACCTCCGCCTCCCAGGTTCAAGTGACTTTCCTGCCTCAGCCTTCCAAGTAGCTGGGATTAGAGGTGCCCGCCACCATGCCTGGCTAACTTTTGTATTTTTAGTAGAGATGGGGTTTCACCATGTTGGTCAGGCTGGTCTTGAACTCCTGACCTCAGGTGACCCACCTGCCTTGGCTTCCCAAAGTGCTGGGATTACAGGCGTCATGTACAGATTTTTGCGTGAACGTTAAGTTTGTCATTTCTCTGGAATAAATGCCCAAGAGTACAACTGCTGGGTATTGGTAAGCGTATGTTTAATTTTTTAAGAAACTGTCATATTTTTTCCACACTGTTTTTGCCATTTCGCATTCCCACCAGCCATGTATGAGTGATCCAATTTCTCTGCATCCTCACCAGCATTTGGTGTTATCATTGTTTTTATTATTTTATTTTATTTTTGAGATAGGGTCTTGCTCCACCCAGGCTGGAGTACAGTGGCACAATCATAGCTCACTGCAGCCTCGACCTTTTGGACTCAAGTGATCTTCTTGCCTCAGCCTCTAGAGTAGCTGGGATCACAGGCATGCCCCACCATGTCCAGCTATTTTGTTATTGTTGTTGTTGTTAAAGACAGGCGCTTGCCATGTTGTCCAGGCTGATCTCAAACTTCTGGGTTCAAGTGATCCTCCCACCTTGGACTCCCAAAATTCTGGGATTACAGGCGTGAACCACCTGGTCTATTTTTTATTTTAGCCATTCTGCCAGATGTGTAGTTATATCTCATTGTAGTTTTAATTTGCATTTCTCTAATTACTAATCTGAGCATCTTTTCATGTGTTCATTTTCCATCTGCATATTCTCTCATTGAAATGTCTGTTCATATCTTTTGCCCACTTTCTAGTTGGATTGTTGGATCTTTACTGTTGGGTTTGTCATTGTTTTAAAGATGGGGTCTTGTTTTATTGCCTGGGCTGAACTTGAATTCCTGAGCTCAAGCGACCCTCTCACCTCAGCCTCCTGAGTAGCTAGGACTATGGGTATGCACCACTGCACCTGGCTTACCGTTGAGTTTTGATAGTTCTCTGTCAGATATGTAGCTTACAAATATTTTCTCCCAGTCTGTAGCTTGTCTTTTTTTTTTTTTTTTTTTTTTTGAGACGGAGTCTTGCTCTGTCGCCTAGGCTGGAGTGCAGTGGCGTGATCTCAGCTCACTGTAAGCTCCGCCTCCCGGGTTCACACCGTTTTCCTGCCTCAGCCTCCCGAGTAGCTGGGATTACAAGCATACACCACCACACCTGGCTAATTTTTCTTTTTTTTTTTTTTTAGTAGAGACGGGGTTTCACCATGTTGGTCAGGCTGTTCTCGAACTCCTGACCACGTGATCCGCCCACCTTGGCCTCCCAAAGTGCTGGGATTACAGGCGTGAGTCACCGCGCCCGGCCTGTAGCTTGTCTTTTCATCTTCTTCACAAGGTCTTTCACAAAGCATCAGTTTTAAATTTTGATGTGGTACAATTTATTTATATTTCCTTTTATGGCTTGTGCTTTTGGTGTCAAGTCTAAAAACTTTTTGCCTAGTCCTAGATCCCAAAGATTCTCTCCTATGTATTTTTCTTAAAAGGTTTATAGTTTTATGTTTTACATTTAAGTCTTTGATCCATTTTGAGTTAATTTTTGTATATTATCGAGGTTCTTTTTTTCCCATGGATGTCCAATTGCTCTGGCATCATTTGTTTAAAACGTGATTCTCCCTCTGTTGAATTGCTTTTGCACCTTTGTCAAAAATCAACTGGGCATATTTATGTGAGCATATTTCTGAGTCAAGAACTCAAAGGAATTTTGACTCAAATATTGAACTCAGGTGAATAAAACATAAGAAATCAATCCACAGAGAGACTGAATGAAGACTAACACATGAAACATTTATCAAACAATCTAATGCTCTATGTAATAAAGTATGAAATTATAAGAAATTGACTGTGAGTACCCTGATCATTAAAACATAGGCTCAGGGAAGTGGTTCCAATCAGCAGAGTGCATTGAAATAGATACTGACTTTGGGGCCAGGAGACCTGCAACTGGACTGTGATTCCATCGTTTATCACCTGAGCGACACTAGGTGGGGGTAGGTAAGTTAATGAACCTCATGGAGCCTCACCTCCATCACTCACTGGAGATCACATTACTTGCCTTGCAGGATTAATGTGTGGACCAGTGAGATGGGAGCCTACAGAATGGCAGACACTAAGCTTGGTCCACATTAGCTACAGCAGGGGCAGATATGAAAAATTGTTTGGAGTTTTTATCTCATATTTTCTATCAGTCCCCTCTCAATTACTAAAAGTGAATATCCACTGTAAGTAAAAAGTGCATGTGTGGCCAGGCACTGTGGCTCACGCCTGTAATCCCAGCACTTTGGGAGGCAGAGGCGGGTGGATCACTTGATGTTAGGAGTTTGAGACCAGCCTGGCCAACATGGTGAAACCCCGTCTCTACAAAAAATACAAAAATTAACTGGGCGTGGCAGCGGGTGGCTGTAATCCCAGCTACTCGGGAGGCTGAGGCAGGAGAATCGCTTGAACCCAAGAGGCAAAGGTTGCAGTGAGCCGAGATGGCACCACTGCATCCCAGCCTGGGCGACAGAGGAAGACTCAGTCTCAAAAAAATAAAATAAAATAAAATAAAATAAAATAAAATAAAATAAAATAAGTGCATGTGCTATGCAAATGTGCCCTGCAAATGCACTAGTTTCCTAGTCCCTTTTTCCGACCAGACTACTGCTCTTAAACCCTCGTCTTGTCTTGTTTTATGGAAATTGCAGAGAAGGCAGGGCATGGTGGCTCATGCCTGTAATCCCAGTACTTTGGGAGATTGATGCAGGAGGATCACTTGAGTCCAGGAGTTTGAGAGCAGCCTGGGCAACATAACAAGAACCTATCTATAAAGACTGAAAAAAATTACCCAGTTTTGGTGGCACACCTGTAGTCCCAGCTACTTAGGAGTCCAAGGTGGGAGAATCACTTGAGCCCAGGAAGTTGAGGCTGCAGTGAGTCATGTTCATGCACTCCAGCCTGGGTGACAGAGTGAGACACTGTCTCTTTAAAAAGGAAGAAGGAAAGAAATTGTAAAGATGCTACAAGTCTACACCATGGGTTGGGCATCTCTTCTGAGCATCAGGGCCATTGAGTGGTGCCTTCCTCTTGGCCATTGAGTGATTCTGCAAATGAGAGTCTCCTTTTCTTTCTCTGGACATCAGCTTTTCCCTAGAAAGGAGAAGAAATTTGGTGCCCACCCCCTAAGGTGGCTTAGAAGGACCAAAATGTACAAAATGCAGATTACCTGGTAGATTTTCTCACACTTTATGTGTATGAAACACTGTTAAGCACAGCTTGGCAATCTACAGCTCGGGCCAAAATCCTGCCCCAACTTTTCCCTCCATCCTGTCTTCATGGCCTGACAGCCAAGAATGGTTTTTATATTTTGAGGCATTGTAGAAGGTTATTATCAAAAAGATGAAAGATAAAGTGTCGGCAAGGATGTGGAGAAAGGGTACCTTTGTACACAGTGGGTGTTATTGTAAATTAGTACAGCCCTTATGGAAAACAGTACGGAGGTTCCTCAAAAAACTAAAAATAGAGCTACCATATGATCCAGCAATCTCACTGCTGGGTACATATCCAAAGGAATTGAAGTCAGTATGCTGAAGAGATGCTGGCATTCTCATGTTCATTGCAGCACTAATCACAATAGCCAAGATATGGAAGTAATGGAAGTGTCCATCAGTGGATGAATGTATTTTTTCAAATGTGGTATATAGACACAACGGAATACTATTGAGCCTTAAAAACACATGAAATTCTGTCATTTGCTGTTGCATGGATGAACCTAGAGGTTATTATGTGAAGTGAAGTAAGCCAGGCACAGTGACAAACACTTCTATGTGGAATCTGAAAGTCAAATGCATAGAAGTAGAGGGTAGAGTGGTAGTTCTCAGAGGCTGGTGGGGGTGGGGAGGTGAGCAGGAAAGGGGAGATGTTGGTAAAGGGGTGTGAAGTTATAGTTAGAGGAATAAGTTCTGGTGTCTTATTGCACAGCAAGCTGACTATAGTTAATAATAATTTATTTGTCTATTTTGAAATAGCTAGAAGAGAGGATTTTAAATTTTCTCACCACAAAGAAATGATACATATTTGAGGAGATGAATATGCTAATTCCCCTGATTTGATCATTCTACAATGTGTGAAACAGCACATTGTATCCCATAAGTATGCATAATTATCTGGCAATTAAAAATAAATTTGAAAAAAGAAAAAAGAGTTCAAGGAAGGAACAAAGGAAGGGAGAAAATGTCACAGGGATGTATGTGGCTTGTAAAACATTAAATATTTATTATCTGGTTCTTTTTTTTTTTTTTAATTGAGACGGAGTCTTAATGTGTCGCCCAGGCTGGAGTGCAGTGGTGTGATTTCAGCTCACTGCAACCTCAGCCTCCCAAGTAGCTGAGATTACAGGCACCCACCACCAGGCCCAGCTAATTTTTGTATTTTTAGTAGAGACAGGATTTTGCAATGTTGGCCAGGCTGGTCTCAAACTCCTGACCTCAAGTGATCTACCCGCCTTGGCCTCCCAAAGTGCTGGGATTACAAGTGTGAGCCACCGTGCCCAGCCTATTATCTGGTTCTTTTTTTTTTTTTTTTTTTTTTTTTTTTGAGATGGAGCCTCCCTCTGTTACTCAGGCTGGAGTACAGTGGTGCGATCTCGGCTCACTGCAACCTCTATCTCGGGGGTTCAAGTGATTCTGGTGCCTCAGCCTCCCAAGTAGCTGAGATTAGAGGTGTGCACCACCTTGTCTGGCTAAGTTTTATATTTTTAGTAGAGACGGGGTTTCACCATGTTGGCCGGGCTGGTCTTGAACTCCTGACTTTAGGTGATCTGCCCGCCTCAGCCTCCCAAAGTGCTGGGATTACAGGCGTGAGCCACCGCGCCCAGCCTATCTGGTTCTTTACAGAAAAAGTTTGCTGTCACCTGTTGTAGAGGATAAAAATGAAGCTCAAAAAGGGGAGAATATTACTGACTTGAGGTCACCCAACAAAGAAATCATCCATCTAAAACAAACAGATTGGGTTCCCTTTATATACAAGGATATAAATACAAGATCATAGAACAGTCAGTGCAGTGTTTCTCAAAGTGAGTGCCATGGACCCCAGATCCCAGAATTGCCCAGTAATGTGTTCTCAGCTCAAATGAGTTCTGGAAACTCTGGAAACTCCATAAGCTCTTCTTAGATGATTATTATGTACATCAGTATATCAAGACTCTCAGAAGTTCTGCTGCAAAGAACAAAACTGTTCGGTTACCTTGTTGAACTCGGCATGTCCCCAGTTATTTTTTAGCTGGGAATCTTTTTTGGGGGGTTTATTTTGATGATAGCAATGTAATACCTTTCCTCAGAAATATTTGAGAAATTCTGAAGACATAGGTCAATCACTTAGGTTTGAAAGCCAGCCCATCCACTTCTTTGCATAGGACCCTGTGCAAGTTGCCCAGTCTCTTTGAGCCTTGTTGGTGGGAAGTGGAGACTCATTTCCAGTGACATTTCTGATCCCCTGGTTCCTGCCTTTAGAGCTACATTTCCCCATAGGGGTGTTCACTGGCAACCTCCCACACCACTGGGCTCAGAGTAGAGAATGAGCTTTATTTTTTCTCTCTGATTGTACATAATTCTATAATTTACTGGAAAGACTGAGGCCTCCACATCACACTTGGGGCCCTTTTATGCAGCATATGCCCTGATAAGGGAGGACACAGTGGGTCAGATTCTAGAAGACTCGACCTTAAAAAGTCACGAACGTGGGAACCAGGGAGACAGATGGAATATGTACAATAAAAGGATTTGTCAGGCCCGGCATGGTGGCTCATGCCTATAATCCCAGCACTTTGGGAGGCTGATGCAGGTGGATCACTTGAGGTCAGGAGTTTGAGACCAGCCTGGCTAACATGGTGAAACCCCATCTCTACTGAAAATACAAACATTAGCCGGTGTGGTGGCTTGTGCCTGTAATCCCAGATACCTGGAAGGCTGAGGCACAAGAATCGCTTGAACCCAGGAAGTGGAGGTTGCAGTGAGCTGAGATCGTGCCATTGCACTCCAGCCTGGGTGACAGAACGAGACTCCGTCTCAAAAAAAAAAAAAAAAAACGGATTTTTCAACATCCAGAGACTTGTTGGGACAGGGTTGATTATTTCCTAGAGGTGCTGAAAAAGGAATTTGTAATATTAAAAGAATGTAACCATTATGGAATCCAGCCTGCACTCTGTGATTAACAACACAACATTAGATCATAGAATTTCAGCAAAGATTCTCTCCTTAATATGGTGAGACTGCCTCACAGAAAGATGCCCCAATAAACCCATACCTGTTGGGGGAAGAGGCCAGCTCTCTTTTGCCTCTGCGTATTTGCAGGTTCTGAGTCAACTTTTTCTTTGATTTTTGCCCACTTAGCTCCTCCCCTTCCTTCAAGTCTCTGTATCAATGTCACCGGGACCTTCACAAGTCTGCTGCACAACTGCTGCCATAAATCCTATATCTTCTACATTACAGTACTTACCTGGGCTTCTGTTGACTTTGTCTTACCAACTAGACTGTAAGTCTCAGGAGGCCAGGGACTGGTTTTGTCTTGTTCACGGTTGCATGGGCAGAGCTTGTCCTGGTACTCAATAAACATTTACAACAAAAAGATTGACTAGGCCAGGCATGGTGGCTCAGGCCTGTAATCCTAGCACTTTGGGAGGCTGAGGCAGGCGGATTGCCTGGGCTCAGGAGTTCAAGACTGGCCTGGACAACATGGTGAAACCCTGTCTCTACTAAAATACAAAACATTAGCCAGGCATGGCAGCGTGTGCTTGAAGTCACAGCTCCTCGGGAGGCTGAGACAGAAGTATTGCTTGAAGCTGGGAGGAGGAGGTTGCAGTGAGCTGAGATCACACCACTGCACTCCAGCCTGGGCGAGAGTGAGACTCCGTCTCCAAAAAAAAAAAAAAAAATTGACTGAGAGAGCATTTGCATCTCTTTGGACTCCTTGGTTCTCAGACACATTGGGGAAACTGAGGCAGCTTGGCCAACTCTGTAGAGATGCGGCAGGGCTGGGAACGTAAGATCCTCTGACACCAGGTGTGAGACTCTTTCATAGCCCTCAATCACTTCTTAAATTCCTCCCCAGTGGAGCTTCTGTGACCTTATTCTATTCTTTCTTGTCATCTTTGCAGAGGTGAAGACTGTTTCAGAGAATTACTTTATAACAAATGAGATCCAGAATAGAAGAAAATTTATCTAACTCTCAGGGGCAGGAGAAATGTGAGCCTTTGGACCTTGAATTTAAATGAGCCAGCAAATCCCTGCTAATTCTCTTCCCCTGCTGAGTCCCGTCTGCTTCACATTCAGCAGAGGAGAAAGCCAGCCTGTGTCACCCATGATTTATGCCGTGCCGTTTGCTCTCTTTCTCTAGAACATTAAACACCCTGAGCAGAGGAGGAAGAGGTACTCTCAGGAGGCCTGGTTGACAGACGGGTGTCTGGGGGTGGGGAGCTCTCTGCTCTGTTGGGAAAAGGGAGGAGGTTGAGTTAAAAAAAAAAAAAAAGGCCCATGCGGCTTCCACATAAAAGGAATAAGGGAGTCTCTGTGTGCCTTGACCTCTGCAAAAACAATTGACCTCTGCAAAAACAATTGGCCTCTGAGCCAAGAGACCTGGGTGCTTGATTTACTCGTTTACTAAGTACCTTTGGGCAAGACTTTCCTGTTTCTGGGCCTCAGTTTTCCTGCCTGTCAAAGAAGGGTCTGGATGGTTTGAGCTCCCTACAGCTTCATGGATCTGGAGCTAGTTGGTACAGCGACCTTGCATAGACCGAGACAATGTAGCACAGTGGTTAACCATAGGGACTCCAGTCCCCTGGGTGGGTTCTGACTCCAGCTCCACCTCTTACCTCCCACTATGTGGCCCTGGGAAAGTTCCTCACCTTTCAGTTTCATCTGCATGGTGAGGTTAATAGCCAGGACCTTCCTCATTGGGTGGCAGGGAACTAAAGCCAGGCTCTTGCAGTGGTGCTGGCACTGACCTAGTACTTTATAATAGAGTCAGCTGTTATTGGGACTGTTGTTCCTGAGATGGTCCCCTATTGTGACCTTGGTGTCCCTCAACCCCAGTTCTCTGCTTGGAGCTCGCTTGGTGCAGGGCAGGGCATCTTAGTGAGCAATTGGAAGTTCTGGGCAGAAGGGAGAAGGAGCTATTTTCAGTGGGTTCTGGTTCTATTTGTAGCTGGTGAGTTGGCCCAGGCTGCAGGGAAGCTTTGGGCCAGCACACTGGGCACTGAGAGAGGTGTGTTGTCTTACATTGGAGAGGGGAGGGAAAGGAGAGAGAGGAGACAGGGAGGTCAAATGGAGAGGAAAAGGAGGGAAGCCACCCCCCCACTCACCCTCCCATACCTTTCTAACCTGTTCTTGCCAATTTCATCTCCTCTATCTTACCTGGGGAAACTTAGAGGGGGGCCCTGACCTTTTAAAGGTAGATTTAGTTTGCAACACGAAGTGATCCATCAACCCAGTTACCACAGTGTTCCCTAACCTATGGCGTTGATTTTTTTCCAGCTGAAGTGGGACTTTTATCCCCAGCAGAATTTTGGGGTATTTGTTAAGGTAGGTGGTGCCTAAACCACTAAATACCTAAGTCATTTTTCAAAACAAAGAGGAAGCGCTCTCATTTCCCCACTGGATACTAGGGCAGAACCTGCTGACTTCCTCTTCCAGAACCATCCCCTACATGGCTAAGCGAGTTGCTTACCCTCTCTGGCCCTCAGTTCTTCATTCATGAAATGAGGCAGCGGTGCCAGGGAGACACGTTTGGAGCTCTTGAGTTGTTTCCAGTTGTAATTCTGTGGCTCCCTGATGCAGTAATCAAACCAGGTGAGGCTGATCCTTTAATCAAAGGATGGTTGGTAGAACTAGGAGGCTCCAAGGAGAGGATGACATTCTACCCTGTCATTATCTGGATGATAAAACTGAGGTCCTAAAGGTGGGGTCAGATCAGGCAGTGAGTCAGTGGCTCAGCTGGGTCAGTAACCCAAGCCTCTTACCTCCCATTGTAGCAAAGCCTCCCTGACACTGGACTGCAGGGTACCTCTTCCTAGAGGGATGATGGCACTCACATCTACTGAGTGCCATTGTACTATTGTAGTTGTGTTAACTGATTTAACTCCCACACTAATCCATTTTCCAGATGAAGATCACCCATATAGAAAGAAATGGTAACATCAAAAGCTCAATCAAACACTATTTGAGTATTTCCCAATGTCCAGTTATCTGGGTATCATCCTCATGAATTTTTGACATAATTTGCTTCATACGTTTATACTAATATTTACTTCCTACTTTTATTTCTCTCTTTTTAAAATTTTTTTGTATTTTTTGGAGAGAAGGTCTCACTCTAACCCAGGCTGGAGTGCTGTGGCACACTCATAGCTCATGGCAGCCTTGACCTCCTGGGCTCAAGTGGTCCTCTCACTCAGCCTTCCAAGCAGCTGGGACTGCAGGCATGTGCCACCACATCAGCTAACTTTTGTATTTTTTTGTAGAGACAGGGGCTCACCATGTTGTCCAGGCTGGTCTCAAACTCCTGGCCTCAAGCAATCCTCCTGCCTCACCCTCCCAAGTAGCTAGGACTACAGGCATGCCACAGTGTATGGTTTCGTCTCTTTGATAATAGCCATTTTTACAAGTGTTATGTGATATCTCATTGTGGTTTCAATTTGCATTTCCCCGATGATTAGTAATCTTCAACAGTTTTTCATATAGCTGTTGGCTATTTGTGTCTTCTTTTGAGAAATGCCTATTCAGAACTTTTGCCCATTTTTTCAGTAGGATTATTTATTTGCTTACCATTGAGTTCTTTATACATTTTGTATATTAACCCCTAGTCAGATGTATGGTTTGCTAATATATTCTCCCATTCAATAGGTTATCTTATTACTCTGTTGTTTTCTTTGCTGGGCAGAAGGTTTTTAGTTTGATGTAGTCCCATTTGTCTATTTTTGTTTTTGTTGCCTGTGCTTTTAGAGTCATATCCAAAAAATCATTTCCCAGACCAGTGTTATGAAGCTTTTATGTTTTCTTCTGGTAGTTTTAATTTCAGGTCATATATTTAAATCTTTAATCCATTTTGAGTTGATTTTTGTGTATGGTGTAAGATGAAGTTCTAATTTCATTCTTCTGCATGTGAATATAGTTTTTCCTAGCACCATTTATTGAAGAGACTGTCTTTTCTCCATTGTGTAGTTGTCATCTTTGTTGAAAATCAATTGACTGTAAATGTCTGGATTTACTTGTGGCCTCTCTGTTCTGTTTCATTGGTCTGTATGTCTGTTTTTATGCCAGCACCATGATATTTTGATTAATATAGCTTTGTTATTTTGAAATCAGGTAGTGTGATACCTCTGGCTTTGTTCTTTTCATTCAAGACAGATTTGGCTATTCAGTCTTTTGTGGTTCATATGAATTTTAGAACTTTAAAAAAATTTCTGTGAAAACTGTCATTGGAATTTTGATAGGCTAGTATTGAACCTGTAGATTGCTTTGGATAATACAGATATTTTAACAATGTCAATTCTTTCAGTCCAAAAACAAGGGATATCTTTCTGTTAATTTGCCTTCTTCAGTTTGTTTCATCGTTGTTTTATAGTTTTTAGTGTACAGATCTTTTACCTCCTTGGTTAAATTTATTTCTAAGTATTTTTCTTTTGGTAGCTATTGTGAATGGGATTGTTTTCTTGATTCCTTTTTTGGATAATTAGTTGTTATGTTGTTAGTATACAGAAGTGCTACTAATCTTTGTGTGCTGATTTTGCATCCTGGAACTTAACTGAATTTGTTTATTAGTTCTAATGGTTTCCTGGTGGAGTCTTTAGGGTTTTCCATACATATGATCATGTTGTCCGTAAACAGAGACTATTTAACGTCTTCCCTTCTGATTTGGATGCCTTTTATTTCTTTCTCTTGCCTAATTGCTCTGGCTAGGATTTCCTGTACTATGTTGAATAGAAGTGGTGAGAGTAGGGGTCCTTATCTTATTCCTGATCTTAGAGAAAAAGTTTTCAGCTTTGTACCATTGAGTATGATATTAGCTATGGGCTTGTCATATATGGCCTTTCTTATGTTGGGATACATTTCTCCTATACCTAATTTGTTGGGAGTTTTATCATGAAAGGATACTGAATTTTATCAAGTGCCCTTTCTGTGTCTATTGAGATGATGGGATGGTTTTGCCCTTCACTCTGTTAATGTGGTGTATCACATTTATTGATTTGTATATTGATTGATATTTATTGATTTGAACCATCCTTGCATCCCAGGGATAAATCCCACTTGATCATGGTGAATGATCTTGTTAATGTGCTGTTGAATTTGGTTTGCTAATAGTTAAAAAATGACGTTATTTAAAAAATATCATGGTAAATCCATGATGTGTTAACATAAATGACATATTTTTATGTAAAAAATCTATATTTTCTCACACAAAAAATTTCATGAGAAGAATGGCATTGTTTTTAACATGTTTGCAATTTTCATTAAAGTCTGACAATGGAAGAATTCTGCATTCTCATATCTGCTTCTGCATTTAGTCTGGGGCAATTTGTTTTGGTTAAAGTACATGAAGAAAATGCAGCCTTATATATTTCAGTTCATTGTGGATATTCTTTCTTGATACTACACCAAAGGTTGGCAGGTAATAGTTTCTTAAAGTTTATTTGCATAAATTCATATCAATGAATTTTTCATACTCACACTAAAATCCATTGGTCTACCTTATACTTTTTTTTTTTTTTTTGAGACAGTCTCACTCTGTCATCCAGGTTGCAGTGCAGTGGCACGATCTTGGCTCACTGCAACCTCTGCCTCCTGAGTTCAAGTGATTCTCCTGCCTCAGCCTCCCGAGTAGCTGGGATTACAGGCATGCATGGCCACGCCCAATAATATCATGCATTGGTCATATGGAAAATATTGGTTTACTATGTAGTGCTTTAAAATGTTGGCACATTTCATTATATGATATAAAATATTCATTTTGCTAATATCACCAACCGTCTCAGCAGATGTATTGGGAAGGTATATTGGGAGGCTGTCAAGCTCATGGTGGGACATTTAAGTTTTCCAAAATTGTAAGTAAGCTTGAATTTTATCATTGACAACAAATACTATTAGCTGTCTTACTAGATGTGACAAACCTACTTCATATATTTTTGAGAAAATGTCTGCCAAACACCCAAATCTGAGTAACTGTAGTTTGCATGTTAACCATTCTTTCAAGTAAAAATGATATTTCCTTAAACAAGAGGCTAGCTCATCTTGCAACTCAAACAATTGCAAAAGTGTTTTTCTTTGAGACCACTGTCCTACTTCTGAATAGTAAACGTGCTTTTTGTGTGTGGGAAATAAGTGCCTAATAGGTAGAGGGCTTTATTTTACAGTGATGAAAACGTTTTGGAATGGGACAGAAGTAGTGGTTGCATAACATTGTGAATGCACAAAATGCCACTGAATTGTCCACTTAAAATGATTAATTTCATGTTATGTGAATTTCACCTCAATTGAAAAAGTGAAAAAAGGGCTTTATGTGTAATTTCCAATCCATCACACAGAATAGTAAAAAGGCTTGTATTCAAATATATAGAGATAATAAAATACATATTTTTTGTTACTGCTTCATCAATGATTTTCTTAAGTGAAACTGGCATTTTGTTTACTACTAGGGTATGTTGGTGAAGAGTACAATGGCTACTAGTACATATCATATCACTGCCTTGATTTGTGATAAAGTGCCACCAGTTTTACTACCACTGCTTTTGCACTATTAGTGCAAATGTCAACACAGTAAAAAGGCAAACAATTTCTTAGTATTATTAAAATAGTTTTTATTTATTTTATATTTATTTATTTATTTTGAGATGGAGTCTCACTCTGTCGCCCAGGCTGGAGTGTAGTAGCGCAATTTCGGCTCACTGCAACCTCTGCCTCCTGGGTTCAAGCGATTCTCCTGCCTCAGCTTCATGAGTAGCTGGGATTACACACGCCCGCCACCATGCCCAGCTAATTTTTGTATTTTTAGTAGAGATGGGGCTTCACTATATTGGCTAGGCTGGTCTCAAACTCCTGACCTCAAGTGACCTGCCTGCCTCGGCCTCCCAAAGTGCTGGGATTACAGGTGTGAGCCACCACTCCTGGCCTATGAAAATAGTTTTGACCCAACTAGAACCCTGAAAAAGTCTCAGGACCCTCCAGGGACCTGTGGACTATGCTTTGAGAATCACTGCTCTAGGCTCAATCAGAGTTGAAATTACCCTCTCCTACAGTAGGGTTGCAGTGTGGTGTTTGGAAAATCCCAGGAGACATTGAATCACAGCAACATGATTCAACTCTAATTTCTGTCTGACCCGTGGCAAATTGTTCCTCAAAGTCTGAAAACCACAGTTACTCCTGTCTGCTAGCTGGATTGGGAGACCAAGGAGATGCTGAAGAGATTATGGGCTAATTCACGCAAAGTGCCCACTGAAATGAGTGACATTTAGAGTTAAGCAGTATTACCCAGTGTTGGGAAGTCTGCATTTTGGGAGGCTGAGGGACCCCTGCCTTCCAGGGGCCCTGCATGACTTTAGGAAGCCTCCAACCCTCAATCAGCATTTTCATCTGTCTTAGGCTATTTCAGAGTCCCTGTGTAGCTGGAATAACATTTTCAGCTTTGAAGATAGGATGGGGAGCAAGGCTGAAAGGACAGCAGGAGGAGGAGGAGACGGTCAGGCGGGTAGAGGACCTCACATGAGAAATAGGGCAGCGAGATGAAGCGAGGATTGGTTCCCTCTTTCCTTGAGTCAGTGCACAAAGCTGGGGCTTTGTCTTCAGCCAAAGCACACAAGGAACCTGTGCACTGCTTTGGCTTTAAATGGAATATAAAACGTTCTCAAACCCATTACCTTAAAGAACCCTAACATGCTTCTTTTTTCTTTTTCTTTTCTTTCTTTTTTTTTTTTTTTTTGAGACAGAGTCTCGCTCTGTTGCCAGGCTGGAGTGCAGTGGCGTGATCTCGGCTCACTGCAATCTCCACCTCCCAGGCTCAAGCGATTCTCCTGCCTCAGCCTCCAGAGTAACTGGGACTACAGGCGCGTGCCACCACACCCGACTAATTTTTGTATTTTTAGTAGAGACAGGGTTTCATCATGTTGGCCAGGATGGTCTCGATCTCCTGACCTCATGATCCACCCGCCTCTGCCTCCCAAAGTGCTGGGATTACAGGCGTGAGCCACGGAGACCGGCCAACATGAGTTAAGTAGGTTAGTGATTACCACCCTAGAAGGCGATGAGGAAACTGACGCATAGAAAAGGGAAAAGAGAAGCAGATATGAGGAGGCGACAAGATTCAAATTTAAGTCTTTAGACACAGACCAGCTTTCTATTGAGTCTCCTTAGGCCCTTCTTCTTGAGGTGAGTTTTCAAGGCCATGCTGCAGTTTTCTCTTTCTTATTTATAAATAATTTACTAAAGTCTGTCTTAAAGGTAAGCAAGTGGGCAGCAGTGGTGATGAGGTGTAGTAATGAAGTTGACAAGCATGAACTTGGAGTCAAATCTTCTGGGTTCAAATCCTGACCTTTACACTTTCTTATGTGTAAAATGGAGGACAGTAACAATACCTTCCTATAGTGTTGTTGTAAAGATTACATTACCTTTAAATTTTATTTTATTTTATTTATTTCTGAGACAGAGTCTCGCTCTGTCACCCAGGCTGGAGTGCAGAGGCACCATCTTGGCTTACTGCAACCTCTGCCTCCCGGGTTCAAGCAATTTTCCTGAGTAAGCAATTTTCCTCCGGAGTAGCTGGGATTACAGGCACCTGCCACCATGCCTGGCTAATTTTTGTATTTTTAGTAGAGATGGGGTTTCACCATGTTGGCCAGGCTGGTCTCGAACTCCTGACCTCAGGTGATCTGCCCGCCTCGGCCTCCCCAAGTGCTGGGATTACAGGTGTGAGCCACCGTGCCCGGCCTAAGATTACATTAGATATACATGTAAAGTGCTCGTATAGCGCCCGCCACAATTGAAAGGTTCAATCCAGCCAGTTGCAGTGGTGAATACCTCTAGACCCAGTAGGGAAGCCGAGGCAGGAGGGTTGCTGGAGCCGGGGAGTTGGAAGCTGTAGTGTGCTGATATCTGGTCGGTGAATAGCCACTCACTCCAATTCATGTTAGCTATTATGAAAATGAGAAGGTGCAAATAGTGTGATTTCATGGGCATAGAGAAATTCCTCCTATGTCCCAAATACTGGTTGAAGATTCAATTGAAGATTATTTAGCCCAGATTAAAAGGCAAACACGATGACATTCCGTCTAAAAAGAGGTCAAAATTACAAGCCATCTCCTTCGCTCTCCCATGGTGAATTGGGGAGCTGTGGGATTGGTTGAGTGTATGCTGACTGCCTATTGGCAGAACTCTTTGCCCTGTGCCTTCTCATTGGAAGCTAGGTGGCCTATGGGTGGGCTGTCCTGGAGTCAGGTGCTAGCTTCAGTCCAATCAGAGGCCACCAACCTGTGGCAGTTCGTCCTATGGCCTTTCCCTGAGCAGATGACTGGTTAAGGGAATTTCCCTGCGGGGGGGCTTAATGGCTGATGAGAACCTTGGTTTATCAGACAATGGGAAAAACAGGTTGGAAAGTCCTTTTTTTTTTTTTCTTAATTTTTAAAGTTTAAGGCTGGGCGTTGTGGCTTACCCCTGTAATCCCAGCACTTTGGGAGGCGGAGGCAGATGGATCGTTTGAACTCAGGGGTTTGAGACCAGCCTGGGGAACACGGTGAGACACCACCCCCACCCCCCGTCTCTATGAGAAATACAAAAGTTAGCCAGGTGTGGTGGAGCACGCCTGTAGTCCCAGCTTCTCAAGAGGCTGAGGTGGGAGGATGGCTCGAGCCCTGGGAGGTAGAGGTTGCAGTGAGCAGAGATCCAGCCACTGCACTCCAGCCTGGACAACAGAGTGAGACCTTGTCTGAAAATAAAATAAAATATAAAAATAAAAAGAGGCCGGGCACGGTGGCTCATGCCTGTAATCCCAGCACTTTGGGAGGCCGAGACTGGTGGATCACCTGAGGTCGGGAGTTCGAGACCAGCCTGACCAACATGGAGAAACCCCGTCCCTACTAAAAATACAAAAAATTAGCCGGGTGTGGTGGCGTATGCCTGTAATCCCAGCTACTCGGGAGGCTGAGGCAGGAGAGTCGGTTGAACCCGGGAGGCAGAGGTTGCAGTGAGCCAAGTTCCCGCCATTACCCTCCAGCCTGGGCAACAAGAGTGAAACTCTGTCTCAAAAATAAAATAAAATAAAATAAAATAAAAAAACTTTAAATCATTCATCAATTTTAGTATTTACTGTTTCTTCTCCCATTCCATTAAGCCTATAGTCAGTCATAGAACAGAAAGGGAAAATCAGGGCAGCCACATATAAATACAGGTGCAAAGTTGAGGCAGGAGTGGACCCTCAAGGGCCAAGAAGAGGTCATTGCTGAGCTTCACATTTAGCCCTGGGCTTTCTGGAAGCCAGAGTGAAAAGAGAGACACAATCAGATGCGTAACAGTTATCAAAAAGCAGGAAGCACACCGGTTTTTCTGGTAGTAAAGCAAGGGCTTTCCAAGCTTTTAACTCTAAAGTAATTTATTTCGTTCTTTCTTTTTTCTCTCTCTGACACCCAGATTGGAGTGCAGTGGCACAATCAGGGCTCACTGCAACCTCTGCCTCCCAGGCTCAAGCCATTCTCCCACCTCAGCCTCTCAAATAGCTGGGACTACAGGCGTGCACCACCACGCCTGGCCAGTTTTTTGGTATTTTTTGTAGAGATGGGATTTCGCCATGTTGCCTAGGCTGGTCTCGAACTCCTGAGCTCAAGCAATCCACCTGCCTCGGCCTCCTAAAGTGCTGGGATTTCAGGCATGAGCCACTGCGCCCGGCCTAAAGTAATTTCTTACTTGAGATTTTATTTCAGGCTACTGTGTCCATGCACTGGGCAGTACAGCCTGGTGGGTAAGACAGCACAGTATTTTTTTTTTTTTTTTGTCTGCTGGGTTTGAATTTTGTTTTAATACACGCAATTTATTCTGTGCTTCACTTTCTTCATCTGTAATATGGAGATAATGGCATCTACCTATTAAAGTTGTGAAGATTCAATTAGATGAGTTGTATGAATAAATGTTAGCTGTTAGTTTAGTTTCGTTTTTTTGAGACGGAGTCTTGCTCTGTCGCCCAGGCTGGAGTGCGGTGGCGCAGTCTCAGCTCACTGCAACCTCCGCCTCCCGGGTTCAAGTTATTCTCCTGCCTCAGCCTCCCAAGTAGCTGGGATTACAGGCGCCCGCCACCATGCCCAGCTAACTTTTGTATTTTTAGTAGATCCGGGGTTTCACCAAGTTGGCCAGGCTGGTATCGAACACCTGAGTTCAGGTGATCCACTCACCTTGGCCTCCCAAAGTGCTGGGATTACAGGCGTGAGCCCCCGCGCCCAGCCAGCTGTTAGTTAATCAAGAAATTCGACTGCCTACTACTTAACCTGCACAGTTCTAGGTGCTGGGGAAACAGTGACGAACAAGACAAGATCCTTATCTTCAAGTAGCTTTTACATTTTAGTGGAGTAAAATGACAGTAAACATTGAAAATAAATTTCAGAAAGTGCTGTGGAAAAACTTTACAACAGACGCAGGAATAGATTTCATTTGACTAGTTCTCCCAGTTTCCAGAAAAGTCAAGGGTAGAATGTTAAAAGGCAACTCAGAGGAGGTGAATCTGTTAGGGCCTACGGTAATGCAATCCTGGTTTGTGGAATTCTGCAGGCTAGTGTGGGTAGGTTACAATTTTTTGGGGGAGTTGTTTTTTACTTTGTTTGAAAACTCACTTCTTCCCGCTGAGCTTTTGATTAGGAGCTGAAGTTGAATCAGTTTGAAATTGTATTCTGGACCGGATGCGGTGGTTCATGCCTGTAATCCCAGCGCTTTGGGAGGCCGAGGTGGGTGGATTGCTTCAGCCCAGGAGTTTGAGATCAGCCTGGACAAAATGGCAGAAACCTCATCTCTACAAAAAATACAAAATTTAGCCGGGCATGATGTTGTGAGTCTGTAGTCTCAGCTACTCAGGAGGCTGAGGTGTGAGGATCGCTTGAGCCCGGGAGGCAGAGGTTGCAGTGAGCCGAGATGCCACTGCACTCCAGCCTGGGCGACAGAGCCAGACTCTGTCTCAAAAAAAAAAAAAAAAAAAAAAAAAAGAAAAGAAAAGAAAAGAAATTGTATTCTGAATACAACTTCTAAAACACTATATTTACTTGCATTATATTAAACTGGTTTTATCCTGACCACAATTGCAGGTGGAAGATACCACTATTGTTCTATTTTTCTGGTAAGTAGAGTGAGCCATGTCTTGCCCAGGGTTACAGAGCTTGGAAAAGACGCCTCCTAAAAATCTGTAGGACCACCTTTGGTTTTCTTCCAGATTTTTTTTTGTCATCTCTTTTCCTCCACCCATTTCCCATCTGTCTAGCCATTCTTGCTCCGCTGGGCTTTTTCGCGAGCCTCTCCCCAGCTGCAGCCCCGCCCATCTCCTGGGGCGTGACCACCTGTCCAGGCCCCGCCCCCGTCCAACCGGCGGAGACCCGCCCCCTTTCCCGGACACCGGGCTCAGCGCCCGAGCGTGCGCGCGCGTCCTCGCTCGTCGCCCGGCTCGGCGTCGGGAGCGCGCTCTGTGTGGCCGCTGCCGCCATGTTGTTGTGGTTGTGAGAAGGCGGCGGCGGCGGCGGAGTAGCAGCCGGACGAGACGTCCCAGCGGCTCAGGCGCTGCCCAGCGCCGGCCCTGGCAGGGAGCCTGGTGGGGTGGCGGAGGGGGAGACTGTGCCGTGGAGGGCCTCGCCATGTCCTGCTGCCCGGTAAGAACCCCATCCCCGTCCTCCGTCTCCTCGGCGGGTGAGGAAGAGCTGGAGGAGGGGCCGGCCTCGGCCCCGGCCCTGGCCAGGCGGCTGTCACCCTCTGAGGAGGCAGCGCCCTGGGAGGGCTGGGGACTGCGTGCGGGGCCCGGGGAGGGGCGTCCCCGGCGGCTGTCGCCGCCAGGGGGAGGCGCTGGGTGTGGGAGTGGGAATGGGAGCTCGGCGGCCGAGCTCGGCCCGGACCCTAGATGCGGGGGAGGCGGGGTCCCGGGCTCGGGCTGCCTTCCCAGACCTGGCGGGGATGGGCCCGTGCGGCTCTGGGTGTGGGACGTACCCTCGGAGCGCCCGGAGTTATTCCCACGAACTCCCGGGAGGTGGGTGTGCGCCCTTCGCCCCCTGCCGGGTCTGTGGCGGTCCATCGTTGCCGGATACTGGAGGTCAGGGGCCATGGGAGCCCCGGGGCGAACGGTGCGGGCCTGGGCCTTGTGGAAAGGAGGAGTGACCGCCCGATCGTGCAGCAGGGCATCCCCCTGACCTGGTAGTACTTAGGTGGGTAGGATGATTGGGGGCGGTTGGCGTAACTGAGGGAACCCTGGTCAGACTGCTCCGCAAATGATTACAGTGTTATTTCTCCGGTAGTAATTTTGCTTGATGTATGGCATTTCCGGACCCATAAGATGATACTGTAGGTTGTATTTTGGACTGGAAAACTTATGTCAAAATTATGGGGTAGATTTTTTGGCCACATTAATAGACTCCCCTGGAATTTGATAATCTCACTTGTGAGTTTTGGACATGGACTGCTATTACATATTGATGTTCAAATGTCCTTTCCAGACCCAGGCCTAAATTCTTACTGTTGTAGTATCTTGATTCTGACATCTATTTTTCCACAACCCAAACAAACAAAACAAAACAAAACAAAACCCCAAAACCATATACTTTTCTAGTTAAGGTTCAACTTTCTCATATGTGAATGGTAATGCCATAAGAGGCCTGGGTTGAATTACAGGAGATTATTATTATTTTTTTCAATGTGAAATGTTTGTGATTTGTCCATGGAGAGGTGGTGGGGACCTTCCCCTTTCAGATTCAGGGCTGTTCAGTAGGACAGGAGACATTGATGGCATGCAGAAAGTCTTCCCTTTATAGGGCCTATGACTTGGGTAGGCTAGAAGAGCTTACAGAATGACACTTTTTTTTTTTTTTTTTTTTTTTTTTTTTAAGACAGAATCTCTCTCTCCCGCCCAGGCCGGAGTGCAGTAGTGCGATCTCTGCTCACTGCAACCTCCGCCTGCCAGGTTCTAGCAATCCTCCCACCTCAGCCTCCCAAGTAGCTGGGATTACAAGTGTGCGCCACCACGGCTGGCTAATTTTTGTATTTTTAGTAGAGACGGGGATTTCACCATGTTGGCCAGGCTGGCCTGGAACTCTTGACCTCAAGTGATCCGCTTGCGTTGGCCTTCGAAAGTGTTGGGATTATAGGCGTGAGCCACTGCCGCCAGCCAGAATGACACTGTTTTGAGTAAACCCAGTATAGTATGTGATATTAAATTAAATTTGGAGGATTCTAGAATTTTAGATTGGCTGCCTATGAATACCTCTTTTGGCTCCAATTACTCCCTCATTTTCAGGTGACTCAGAGAACTTCAAGTGACCAGCACAGTGGTACAGCCCCGCTTGTCGTTAATGACCAGCCATAAAAAACCCTGAGTTTCTCAGCTCATAGGCCAGGTTCTTCAGTGGTTGTCTAGTTTAAGGCTGGTCATTAGAAATATTATGGACTACCTAAATTCCTCGAACTCATGCAGGACCTGGTGAATTAAAATCTCTGAGGATAGAGCCTGGGGATCTGTCCTTACAAAGCTCCGTGAATGATTCTGGTCAGCAAGGCATGTGAACTTTTGCTTTAGGTTGGGTATTCCAAAGAAGTCCCATTAATTATGACTTCTCAGGGTGCTTTTGTTTATAGATCTTTAAGAATTTAAGAGGTGGAGAAGGGGAAGCATGAGAAACTTAAAGAGATGCAAATTGAGCATCTCTTAAAATATAATGGATTTATGTAGGGGAAACAGATTTGTTGCCAAAAGTTAATTTGCAAACAAGTTATTAGGAACACACTTGATAAAATTAGATGCTGATTAATTGGAGATATACTGTATCCAGAGATATATTGAAGGATCCAGAGGAAATAAACAGAGAAGGAGAGGGAGTAAGTCGGCTTCTGGCTCATAAAGGGGTCCACTGAAGATGCTTCCCACCATTATGGTTGCTCCTAAACCATCTGACTCAGATTTCTAGTGGAGGGTAGGATGGGTGTGTTAGCAATCATTTGAGACCCGGGTTGTGAACCAGGAAGGGTTACTATGTATTGTGAAAAGTTCTTGAGATTTGCCGCAGGCCATGAGGAGTGGTAAAGTCAGTTTAAAAATCTGCTGTAGTTCTAGTTAACACGTTCACACCTTCTTCAGTAAAGTGGAATGCTGTTACCAAAGGAAGTATTCGTGTTTTAGAGGGGGGTGTGGTGAAGGTTCTTACAAGTTTGGAAGAGGTGGAAGAAAATGTTGTTACAATTGTGTAGAGTAGTGAAGGGCTTTGGTAAATATCCTGTCAAATCATAGAGTAGTATTTTTAGAGTTGCACCCAGCTGTCCATTAGAAGAGCCAGAGGCCTTGTCTGTTTTGTTCCCTGGTGTCCCCAGTATCCAGCGCAGTTATCCGCATATTCTGTGCCCTCAGATATTTTTTAATTAAGTGAATACTATTGATATGGGAAAAAGAACAGTTATGGTGGTTTATAGCAGTGTTAGTTATTAAAAGCTACCTGATATTTTGCAATGGATTAAAGAGCCAATTTTTGATCAAATAGGGCTCTGGGTAGGAAAGAAAATGAAAATGAAGAGCCAGCTTTCAGTGCTTATTGTTTGGAATTTTTGAGATTCCTTTAAGAAATTGTTTTCTAAAGACTGTCATGAACATTATCGAGTCCCCTAGTTTTTGAGTCTTAATGAATCTTAAGTGTTTCAGATGTTAGTTACTTTTTTAAGAGCACAGTAAGTGCAAAGGTAGTATAGAATAGTGGGAAGTTCTGGATTGACAGACATATATTCTGATTCCATCTGTGTCATTTATTGCTGTTGGGAATGTCACTTAACTTCTCTGGGCGTCAGTTTTCTCATATATACAATTAAGGGCCTATAGTCTTTGACCTCAAGTAGTTTCTCTAGCCTGATTCTGCAAATTTTTAATCATTTCTAATTATGTTATTTGGTATTCATCTCATATAGGTAGATGAACTTTTATTATTTAAAAGAAACAAGATTCTGTGTTGGGTTCTGCTTTTAGCTTATGGATTTTAGACATTGTCCAAAAGTGCTTCCGATGTTGAATGTATGTTGCAAGTGTTATGTAGAAAGAACATGCTTATGCTGTTGTAATTGGCTTAGTGTTGAAATCAAATTGGGTTTTACATTGGGAACTTCATAATTTAGTGTGAAGTCATGAGACTTGAGAATGGTTTGGGGGGAGTTTGTGCAATTTATATAGCTAGCTGTTTCTTACCACCTAATTCTGTAATTTTCTATGATGAATATATAGATAAATTTATAATCAGTGTAACATTGATTTAAGTTATAAGATGATATCAGATTCATACTGGATTGAACTAGAACTCCCAGTAACTTTAGAGGCTACCAAATTATTAACATGTCATTGCTATTTTTAATCTTAATTTTGTGATATCAATACTGATATGCTTTCATCTTTGCTTTTGTATCTAGAAACAATATACCTTTTAAGTTCATATTTGTATCAGATATTAAAAATGAAAATTGTAGCATGAAAGTGGGTAGATAGTAAATCTTGGGTTCAAGCCTGGGTTGTTATTCTTCATTACCCATGTTGTTTCTGGCAAGCTACATAACCCCCCTGAGCTCCAGTTCCCTCATTAGTGAAAGGAAGAAGAGCAACTTTTCTACTTTTCTAACAGACTGTGGATCAAACAATAGTGTATATGAAAAGCATTCTAAAAATGTAAGGGGCTGGTATTAGAATCGTATTGTATTAGAATCCTATTTTATGTCTTTGAAGAATTGGCTTGTGGAGCAGTGGTAAACCTAGTCTGTATTGTCAAGTGCAGAATTTACCAATATCACTGATATGGCAACAGAGAAGGTTTCTGCTTCTGTACTCTGGCTGGAGAAACCTTTCAGCACATGTATCCTGTCTGCCAGTCGGAATAGTCACAATGTTGCAGGGACTTCAGAGGAACCTGGGATGTCTCACATTTATGCCAAGGTCTCTACTTGGAATAGACTTGGCTAGATTTCACCCATTTTCTTATGTTGGAGCAGTGGTAGAAGGTGGTAGGAGCAAGGAGTTCAGCACATTCTGTGTAAAGTTCTAAGGCTGTGTTTTTAAGTAGCAGGTGGCAGTGTCATAGGGTAATGAAATCAATGTACTTATTTAAAAAAGCATTTTCAGAAAGAGAATATATCAGTACATTGCATAAAGTAAAAGTAAATATAGACACAGAGGTATTGTCTTGATGCTGATAGCTGCAGATATTCAGAATGATTCTGTTACAACAGATGGTAGCAAGCTTTTCTGATTTCACTTATCTGGGGTCTAAATCTAATTTCTTTAGTAGTTAATACTGTTTTGTTTTGTTTTTTTTTTTGGACACAGAATCTTGCTCTGTTTGCCCAGGCTAGAGTGCAGTGGCACGATCTCGGCTCACTGTAACCTCTGCCTCCCGGGTTCAAGATTTGGGAAACTTTTGTTTCTTTTTAAAAGATATTTTTATGTATGTATACTTGGTTGCCGTGTAAAATGTATTTTTTCTTTTTAAAAATTATAATTTTCATTTTTTGTAGAGACAGGGTTTTGCTACGTTGCCCAGGCTGGTCTTGAACTCCTGGGCTCAAAGGTAGTCCTCCTGCTTTGGCCTCCCAAAGTGCTGGGATTGTAGACATGAGCCACTGTGCCTGGCCTAAAAGGTTGTTTTTTTCTTTTGGGTTGTGATAAAACTTTGTCGTCGTTGTTTGGGGACATAGTACTTGGGCAATGTGGATAGAATGACTGTCTATAAAATAGTAAGGCATGAAACTAACGAAAACAAAAAGAAAATTGTGAAGGTGGGTTACCTTAAAGCTATTCTGTTAGTGGTGAAATACCTCATAGCTATGTTCTGAACTGTTGATTTAATGAACAAAGCACATGAACTTATGCTGTAATAATATTCTTAAGTACTCTTTTCCCTTAACATGGAGTATGGAGTACTTTAACCACAGAGGTATTGTCTTGATGCTGATAACTACGGATATTCAGAATGATTCTGTTATGACAGATGATAGCAAGCTTTTCTGATTTCACTTACCTGGGGTCGAAATCTAATTTCTTTATTAGTTAATACTTTTTTTTTTTTTTTTTTTTTTTGAGACAGAGTCTCGCTCTGTTGCCCAGGCTGGAGTGCAGTGGCGCGATCTCGGCTCACTGTAACCTCCGCCTCCTGGGTTCAAGTGATTCTCCCTGCCTCAGCCTCCCCAAGTCGTTAATACTTTTATAACTTAGTTGCAGAAGAGAAATATAAATTTATTTAGTTTTCAGAATTATTCATAGATTTATAATCTGGCAAAATATAAGGAAATTATAAGTATATTGATAAATCATGACATAACTGGCAAGAATTGGTATGAAGACAAGATGGTTATAACTTGAAATAGGGTTGTTATTTATTCTATGCCTATCATTTTTCCATGAGATAAACCAAATATTTAATTGTTTAGACTGATTCCACAAATGACATGGGAAGGCAGAGTGTTTATAAAGAGTTTTGGAAGTGATATAGGACACTATAATTTGGAGTTTTAACTTAATCTTATTTTAAATTTCAAAATGAAATTATTTCTGGTTATGAAAGCTACGGAACTTTTTTTTTTTTTTTTTTTTTTAGATGGCGTCTCGCTCTGTCACTCAGGCTGGAATGCAGTGGTGTGATCTCAGCTCACTGCAACCTCAGCCTCCTGGTTCTAGCAATTCTGCTGCCTTAGCCTCCTGAGTAGTTGGGATTACAGGTACCTGCCACCACGCCTGGCTAATTTTTGTATTTTTAGTAGAGACAGGGTTTCACCATGTTGGCCAGGCTGGTTTCGAACTCCTGACCTCAGGTGATCCGCCTGCCTTCGCCTCCCAAAGTGGTGGGATTACAGGCGTGAGCCACTGCACCTGGCCCAGAACGGTTTTAGTGTTTTTTAAAAAAAAAAGTAGAGATGACCTGTAATCCCATCTGGATGTAATGTTTGGTATTTTTGTTTTTTTTCTTATACATATCTATTGAAATAATTTTAAAAAGAACAACTTTCCCTGTAAAATTGATATTCCCTTAATGAGCATTTAGTGTTTATAATATGGATGCATCATAGTTTATAGCAGTTCTGTGTTATTAATGGATATTGTCAATTTTTCTCTTAAAGCAGTACTGTGATGAACTCGTTTGGACATTGAATTGCATTGAATTGTTCTATTATTTTATTATTTCCTTAGGATAAATTCTTTTTTTTTTTTTTTTTGAGACAGAGTCTCACTTTGTCGCCCAGGCTGGAGTGCGGTGGTGCGATCTAGGCTCACTGCAGCCTCTGCCTCCCGGGTTCAAGCGATTCTCCTGCCTCAGCCTCCTGAGTAGCTGGGCGTACAGGCGCATGCCACCACGCCCGGCTAATTTTTTGTATTTTTAGTAGAGACAGGGTTTCACCATGTTGACCAGGATGGCCTCGATCTCCTGACCTCATGATCCACCTGCCTCCGCCTCCCAAAGTGCTGGGATTACAGGCCTGAGCCACTGCACCTGGCCCAGGATAAATTCTTAAAAGTGGGTTTATTACCTGGGCGTGGTGGCTCATGCATGTAATCCCAGCACTTTGGGAGGCCAAGGCGGGTGGATCACCTGAGGTCAGCAGTTCAAGACCAGGCTGGCCAACATGGTAAAACCCCGTCTCTACTAAAAATACAAAAATCAGTCGGGTGTGGTGGCGGGCCTCTGTAATTCCAGCTACTTGGAAGGCTGAGGCACAGAGAATCACTTGAACCCAGGAGGCAGAGGTTGCAGTGAGCCGAGATTAAGCTGCTGCACTCTAGCCTGGGCCACAGAGTGAGACTCAGTCTCAAAAGAAAAAAAAAAGTGGGATTATTAGGTCAAACGGTACGTGTGTTTTAAATTTAGATATACTCAAGATGCCCTTTAGATAGGATGTCTATTTCAAATTCCCATCAACAGTGTATTAGTATTCAATTCCATATATTCTTGCTAGTGATTTGTCATCTTTAGCTTGTTGGGAGTTTAAAGTAGTTTGAAACAGTTTTCTGTTTCTTTTTCAGCATCAGGACTTACTTCCATAGCTTAACTCTTCGGAGGGAGCTGATAAAAATGAAAGATCAGTGACAAGGGAGTGGTGTAGACCAGTGGTCTTCAAACTTTTTGGTTGCTTACCCCATCACTAAAAAATTTTGAGCATTAAGCAGGTGCGGTACATGGTTCTGTGGTCCCATCTACTTAGTTGGCTGAGGCAGGAGAATGTTTGAGGCCAGGAGTTCAAGGCTAAAGTTCACTGTGATTGTGCTTATGAATATAGCCGCTGTACTCTAGCCTGGACAACATAGCGAGACCATCTCTTTAGAAAAAAAAAAAAGATGAGATGGGAAGAATGAAGTCAGAAAAAAAAAATTGATAGGACTTCGTGTTGTTGCTTTGAGAAAAGAGAAAAAGAAAAAAATTGAGCATCAATTCTTAATCCTTAGATATTTGATTTACAAATAATATATGTATAGTAACTGATTATTGTGGACTTTATAAAATACGAACAAAAAATCAACAAGGATGATAATTAAAAATAAAGTTCAGATATTTTCCTTTTTTACCCTGGGGTGTCTTGGTTACTCCTGGAGGTATGCGTGTGCGTGTGTGTATGTATGTATGTGTGTGTGTGTATATATTTAATATATATGTGTATACATTGTATATGTGTATACATAATATATAATATATATGTGTATATATAACATATATATATGTGTATGTATAATATGTATATATTTTTTAGACAAGAGTCTTTTTCTGTTACCGAGGCTGGTGTGCAGTGGTGCGATCTTGGCTCACTGCAACCTCTGCCTCCTGGGTTGAAGTGATTCTTGCGCCTCAGCCACTTGAGTAGTTGGGATTACAGGTGTGTGCCACCATGCCTGGCTAATTTTTGTATTTTTTACTAGAGACGGGATTTTGCCATGTTGGCCAGGCTGATCTGGAACTCCTGGCTTCAAGTGAATTGCCTGCCTTGGCCTCCCAAAGTGCTGGTATTACAGGTGTGAGCCACCGTGCATATGTTATACTTGCTTTGGATACTACTGCTTTAGACTCTTAAGGTTTAATATTGAGCATTTATAGATGCTTGTTTTTGGGCATTTCACTAGTTTTGCTGGTCCAGTTTAGTTGGATCATGAATACCTTTAAAATGTCCCATGCTAGGCTGGGCGCGGTGGCTCAGGCCTGTAATCCTAGCACTTTGGGAGGCCAAGGCAGACGGATCATGAGGTCAGGAGATCGAGACCATCCTGGCTAACACCGTGAAACCCGCCTCTACTAAAAATACAAAAAATTAGCCCAGCGTGGTGGCACGCGCCTGTAGTTCCAGCTACTTGGGAGGCTGAGGAAGGATAATCTCTTGAACCCAGGAGGCGGAGGTTGCAGTGAGCTGAGATTGTGCCACTGCACTGCAGCCTGGGTGACAGAGCGAGACTCCATCTCAAAAAAAAAAAAATGTCCCATGCTCTTGAGAGTCGTATCTGCAATAAGGGTAAAAATAAATTTAAAACATCAGTTCAATACTTTTTGCATTGTTGAGGTGGCTGAATTTGAAAAGGACAAATAGTAGGATAAGAAGCAATGTAAGTACTCTATTTCTTCTAGATATGAAGAATTAATATTTTGTAGAACATATTTTAAAAAATTATGTTTTTTGGAAAGCCGTTTGGCTGTAATATGTATCTCCCTGTTTTTTAAGAGTTAGGTCCTAGAGACTGAGTGAAGGTATGAATAATTGCTACTTGCTCTCCTTTGCTTTCAAAGTACCACAATTAACCTGTCACTAACTCTGTTTGGATTAGCCTGAGCCTATAACAAACTTTCCATGATGATTCTTAGATTAAAAGATAATTTTTTTCTTGAGTTAGAATAAGTTGCTTTTGATCTGTGGCTGCCTGCCCCCCAACCCCTATAAATTATGACATCAGGAAACAAGGCTTTTTGTATTAGAAAAAAATGGGGAAATTAATTTCAGTTATTTCATGTGGGTCATTGGCAGAGAAAGATAATACTAAAATCTTAGAGACTGTGAAAAGAGATTATATTAAGCAACTTGAGTGATTACTTTTTTGCCAGTTAAAAGAAATGAGATAATTTATATTGAAGATGATTGCTATATACAGTGCTTTGCACAAAAGGCCACATATCTCTTTTTACCTTAGGTAACATGATGTATAAGCTACTTTCACATATATCTTCTTAGGTCATCACAAGGATTTGAGATCATCATTTAATCAGGACTGTTGTGACTTGCTTGAGACCACATGCCTAGTGTTTGACATCATATTTCAAGAGGTAGACTGAAAGTTCTGCAGAAATAGGGACTGGTGGCTGTTCTCTCCCTTACTCCCTAGCAGTTAATACATTGCCTGGTACAGAGTAAGCTGTCAATATTTGTGGACTATTTAAACTCCTGCATATTTATTTACACATGTAAATAAGTTATAGCATTGTAAAACCAACAGGTATATTTTCCGTAGTGAGATTGTTCCTTCATCTTATGTGCACAGAAAATATTTTCGTGGAAGAGGTCTTGAATTTTAGATCAACCTTTCACATATCCCTTTACTTTCTCTTAAGATACTTTCATGGTGACAAAAAAAATACTCTTAATGTCATTCCTTTCACTGTGTGTGTAACTCCTGTGGCAAGACTGTATATTTGTATGTATGTATTTGTTTATTTAGTAGGCTGCTATTTATAAAGGAAACATACTCATTAGTTGGTCTTTGCGTACATAATGGTTCCCAAAACATGGACTCCATGGTTTGCTGTGAGTGAATGAAAAAGAGCAGGTATGATTCCCCTCACCTTTGTCATTCTCTCCAGTTTCTTGTACATATGGTTGACTTACTCAGCAGTAAGTGTAACTTTACAATGAAGAAAATTAGTCTTCCAAAGAACTAGTATGCTACTTCCCGCTTGTTCTGCAGTATTTAAAATCCTGTTTGGTAAATGAACTAAGACACTTATATATAGAAGAGACCCTGGATGGCCATGAATGGAAATATTAGTAGTGATTAATTTCTGTCTTGGTGGGATAATGTGGCTTTTTTGCTTCTTATTCTTTTAGAGTTTCCCATTTTTCTACAACGAGCATGTATTACTTTTATACGTAGGAAAAACTGCTATTTTATTTTATTTTTTATTTTTTAAGACGGAGTCTCACTCTGTCACCCAGGCTGGAGTGCAGTGGCGTGATCTCAGCTCACTGCAACCTCCACCTCTTGGGTTCAAGCCATTCTCGTGTCTCAGCCTCCCAAGTAGCTGAGACTACAGGCAGAAGCCACCACAGCCAGCTGATTTTTTGTATTTTTTAGAGATGGGATTTCGCCATGTTGGCCAGGCTGGTCTTGAACTCCTGACCGCAGGTGACCCGCCCATCTTGACCTTCCAAAGTGCTGGGATTACAGGTGTGAGCCACCACGCTCAGCCAAAAACTGCTATTTTAAAGTCTTTATTTTTCACTGGATGTCTTCTGAAGGTTTATGTCGCACTCACCATTGAGAAAGTGGGTGGTTAACTGGCTCCAGTTCCTAAGAGGAGTGGCAGCGGTAGGAAGTAGTATGGGAGGAGTGGGGCAGGTAAGCTGATTTGAACTTTATCATTGTGAACTCCACTATGACTAAAGACATTCTGGGATTTGATCACAATTAAACCCAAGAGGACTGAGCCATCTAGTTTTTTTCTTCTTAATAAGCTGATTGAGAATTATAAAAGACACCTTAAGAAAAATCAGTTTCTATGCACTCTGTAAACACAGAACTCAGCCCGAACTCCCAAGTTCTGTATCCGTGTGTGTGTGTGTGTGTGTGTGTGTGTGTGTGTTGTGGTATGTTTTAAATATCAAATGGAGTTGTGGCAACTCAGATGGGATATGGTTTATATTAATACATCTAATATGAATTGGAAGATGCTTAGGCAAACGATTTTTATTATGACAGTATAGGCTTATTGGAGTTTTGGTGTTAATATACAGCTGGGAGTTGAGCCGTTCTAAGTTTATATAGCCATCTGGTGATATTTTAGGAAGAGCTGTGTCACATATCCTCTAGAGTTTAAGTGATTAGAGCTTGTTGGCTTTTGCTGTTAGTTTACTGCACACTTGTAGTGTTTTAAATGCTTCTGTGAATGGATAACATAATTCAAAAAGGTTAGATTTCTGGGTTAAGACATTTGTTATTATCGGCCCTTACTTTATTCTTTTAAAGAGTAAGATTAGGCTGGATGCAGTGGCTCGTGCCTATAATACCAGCACTTTGGGAGGCCAAGGTGGGCAGGTGAGGTCAGGAGTTTGAGACCAGCCTGGCTAACATGGCAAAACCCCATCTCTACTAAAAATACAAAAATTAACGGGGCGCGGTGGTGGGCATCTGTAATCCCAGCTACTCAGGAGGCTGAGGCAGGAGAATCACTTGAACCTGGGAGGTGGAGGTTGCAGTGAGCTGAGATCGTGCCACTGCACTCCAGCCTGGTTGACAGAGGGAGACTCCATCTCAAAAAAAAAAGTTGAAGAGCAGTTGAAATAATAAATGTAGGTACTGTTAGGTGGGTGCAAAATTAATTGTGGTTTTGGATTGTGAATTTTAAATCATTGTAACTAGGCCCAAACAGATCTTCATTTATCAAAATAGGAACTGTTACAATCAACACATTTTTACCGATGAGAAATAAGTTTGTTTATACCTGTAGTATAAAAATCCATGCTTTGAGATTCGATGAACTCTTGGAAAGCATTTTCTGCATCCTGCTGGTTGTGGAAGCATTTTCCCTGCAAAAAATTTTCTAGATGTTTGGAAAAGTGGTAGTCGGTTGGCGAGTGGTTAGTTGAATATGGTGGATGAGGCAAAACTTCGTAGCCCAATTCAACTTTTGAAATGTTGGTTGTGCAACGTGTTGTCGGGTGGTTGTGGAGAAGAATTGGACCCTTTCTGTGGACCAGTGCTGGCTGCAGGCATTGCAGTTTTCAGTGCATCTCATCGATTTGCTGAGCATACTTCTCAGATGTATTGGTTTTACTGGGATTCAGAAAGCTGTAGTGGATCAGACCAGGAGCAGACCGCCAAACAGTGACCATGACCACTTTTTGGTGCAAGTTCGGCTTTGGGAAGTGCTTTGGAGTGTCTTCTCGGTCCAGCCACTTAGCTGGTCATCACTGTTGTTGTATAAAATCCACTTTTTGTCGCACATCACAATCCAACCAAGAAATGGTTCGTCGTCGTTACGTAGAATAAGAGAAGACAACATTTCAAATCGACAATTTTTAAAATTTTCGGTCAGCTCATGAGGCACCCACTTATCAAGCTTTTTCACCTTTTGGCTGGGCGTGGTAGCCCACGCCTGTATTCCCAGCACTTTGGGAGGCGGAGGTGGGCAGATCACTTGAGGCCAGGAGTTCAAGACCAGCCTGGCCAACGTGGTGAAACCCCATGTCTACTAAAAATACAAAAATTAGTTGGGCATGGTGGCGGGCATGTGTAATCCCAGCAACTAGGGAGGCTGAGGCACGAGAATCGCTTGAACACAGGAAGTAGAGGTTGCAGTGAGCCCAGATCACACCACTGCACTCCAGCCTAGGTGATAGAGTGAGACTCCATCTCAAAAACAAACAAACAAAAAAAACTTTTTCACCTTTCCAGTTGGCTTCAATTGCCTGCCAAACAAGGGTAGAATGGTCGACATTGAGTTCTTCGGCAATTTCTCGTGTAGTTGTAAGAGGATCAGCTTCGATGATTGCTCTCAGTTGGTCATTGCCAACTTCTGGCCGGCCACTACACTCCTCATCTTCAAGGCTCTCGTCTCCTTTGCAACACTTCTTGAACCACCACTGCACAGTTTCTGGGCCAGATGTGTAGTTGATGTTGTGAGTTGTCTCCACTGCTTCACGACCCATTTTGAACTCAAGAAAATCACTTGAATTTGCTTTTTGTCTAACATAATTTCCATAGTCTAAAAAAAAAGCAAAAAATACGTTATTAGCAAGAAAAGGCAAGAAATGTGCATTAAAATGATGTATAACATAACCATTTATTTAAGAGTGTATTCCAGTATTAAATGGCAAATTTCAACAGTGCAAAAACTGCAATTACATTTGCACCAAACTAATAATATAATTTTTTTTTAGTTAAAAATTTTATAGTACAGAATAACAGGCTTGTCTCACACACACACACACACACACACACACACACACATACACACACACAAATCCCATATAGAATCTACAAAGCCTGTCTGTCTCTGAATTCCACAACCTTGGCTTATTTTTTTAAAGTAAAATTTAAATATTTAAAAAATTTAGAAAAATATGGAGAATAAGTTAACAAACACCATGTACTAATTCAGTAGATTTTTTTTCTTTTTCTTTTTCTTTTTTTTCTTTTTTTTTTGAGTTGGAGTCTCGCTCTGTCGCCAGGCTGGAGTGCAGTGGTGGAATTGGCTCACTGTAACCTCTGCCTCCTGGGTTCAAGCGATTCTCTACCTCAGCTTCCCGAGTAGCTGGGACTACAGGTGCACGCCACCATGCCCAGCTAATTTTTGTATTTTTAGTAGAGACAGGGTTTCACCATGTTGGCCAGGATGGTCTTGATCTCTTGACCTTGTGATTGGCCTGCCTTGGCCTCCCAAAGTGCTGGGATTACAGGCGTAAGCCACCATGTCCAGCCCATTCAGTAGATTTAATAGATGCTGACATCTTGTCAGATTTGCTTCAAAGGTGTATTTAAGTATGTTTTTATTTATTTATTTATTTATTTATTTTTGAGACGGGCTCTCACTCTGTTGCCCATACTGATGTGCAGTGGCGCAATCTCTGCTCACTGCACCCTCCATCTCCCAGGTTCAAGTGATTCTTGTGCCTCGGCCTTTTGAGTAGCTGGGATTACAGGAGCTCGTCACCATGCCCGGCTAATTTTCTTATTTTTAGTAGAGACAGGGTTTCACTATGTTGGCCAGGCTGGTTTTGAACTGGCCTCAAGTGATCTGCCCATCTTGGCCCCCCAAAGGGCTGGGATTACAGGGGTGAGCCACTGTGCCTGGCCTGTATTTGCTTTTAAAAATTAAAATATGCATACGGTTGGAGTCCCTTTTGTCATCCTCTTAGATCGTATTTTCGTATGCAGAAGTTATTTATCTTTTTAGCTCATGCACTTATATTCTTCCTACAAATATCTATATATATTTTATGTAGTATTGGGTTTCAAATTTATGTGATATTTTAGTACATACTTTCTATAATTTGAAAAATGACATGTTGATATATGTGTATTATTATTATTATTTTTTGAAACACAATCTTGCTCTGTCACCCAGGCTGTAGTACAGAGGCACAATCTTGGCTCACTGCAACTTCCGTCTCCCAGGTTCAAGTGATTCTCGAGCCTCAGCCTCTCGAGTAGCTGGGATTACAAGTGTGAGCCACTGCACTTGCCTTACTTCATTAATTTTAATAGCTGTATAGTATTCAGTCATATGAATGAATAGTACACAATTTTAGTCCTTTATTGATAGTTGTTTTCAACAAATATACAAAGGTAAACTTTTTCCTCAAATTGGGTCAAGCTATATATATTGTTCTAAATTAGCTCTTTTTCTCCCAATAATAATAGTGTGCAGGTTTGTTACATGGGTATATTGCATGAGGTTTGGGGTACAATTGATCACATCACCCAGGTGGTAAGCATAGCACCCACTAGATAGTTATAAGTTTTTTGAGACAGGGTAGGTCTCTGTCCCTCAGGCTGGAGTGCAATGTTGCGATCACTGGTCACGGCAGTTTTGACCGCTCGGGCTCAGTCCATCCTCCCAGCTTAGCCTCCTGGGTAGCCGAGACTACAGTGTTGGGCCACCATTCCCTGCTAATTTTTGTATTTTTTGTAGAGACTGGGTTTTGTCCTGTTACCCAGGCTGCCTCGAACTCCTGGACTCAAGCAGTCCACCCACCTCAGCCTCCCAAAGTGCTGGTATTATAGGCGTGAGCCACCGTACCCAGCTCCTAGTAGGTAGTTTTGAACCTTCACGCCTTCCCATCCTCTCCTCTCTGTTAGTTCCCTGAATCCCATGTTTACTTCCATGTTTACCCAATGTTTAGTTTAGAATGATGATCTCCAGCTGCATCATGTTGCTGCAAAGGACATGATTTTATTCTTTTTTATGGCTGCAGCGAACCTTTGGGTAAAGAAAATTTACAAAAATTTCTCACATCTTTTTTTTTTTTTTTAATGAAAGTAAGTAGTAGTAATCCATAGTTCAGATCTACTTTATAAGTGAGTCACTGATAAAGACAGTAGTTACACATTTTATAACATTACCTTGATGGGACAAATTTTTCTTGTTTTGTTTTTGTTTTACTTGAGTTAATTTGGATGAGACTTTCTTGAATTACTTACATTTATAGCATTTACCTCCAGTGGGGTTGAGATGAGGAGCCTTCAATCCAACAAAGTTGTATACATGCATTCATGGAGATGACACTTAGGCTATTTAATCAGGAAACACTCATACTTGTCCACATGTAGATAGTCCTATTCTTTGGAAATTTTGCTATGTTGCCCCTGCTGGTCTTGAACTCCTGAGCTCCAGTGATCCTCCCACCTTGGCCTCCCAGAGTGCTGGGATTATAGACGTGAGCCATTGTGCCCAGCCAGAAATATGATTTTAATTCCATAGTATATAGTATATGTTATTGTGAGTAGAATATGTTTATTCTGTAAGTAGCAAATTGACTCCTTCAACAGTTTTAATAGTTTTCTAGTTGTTTTGTCTTTAGTTTCCCAGGCAAATAATGCTGTTGTCTTCAATCACAGTATTGATTAGTTCATCCCATTCTTCATATTGATCATTGTTTTTGGATATTAAATAATACTACTGTAATAATTAAGAAAGATGGAAAGCCTCACCAATTTGCATGTCATTCTTGTGCAGGGACCACGCTAATCTTCTCTGTATTGTTCCAATTTTAGTATATGTGCTGCTGAAGCGAGCACTCCATTTCTGTAAAGCTTAAAAAATGGACAAAACTAACAGATGGGAATGGAAATCAGAATAATGGTTATCTTTGGTGGTGAGGACAGGGGAGATTGTAGGTATGCTGCTAATGTTCTGTGTCTTGATCTGGATCTTGATTTCATGGTTGTGTTCAGTTTATGAGAATCATCGAGTAGTAGACTTAGGAAAGGTGCACTTCTTTGTATGTATATTATACCTCAGTTAAAAACTTTTGCCTCGCAAAATTTTAAAGAACGTAATCTGCTGAGTTCGTCGTCTTTTAGCTTTTGATGTAACTTTTCCACTACTTCTCTTCATATGTGAATACACTTAATGATAAGCCATTTAACCTTTTTATTATGATATAAAACAAACATACAGAAGAGTGCACAAATCAAATGTATAGCTTAATGAAATTTTAAAATTATTAAATTGGAGGTTTTTTGGGGTACATTATACCTGTGTCTTTGTTAGGAGGGAAGGAGTTGATGGAGGGCTAAAAATTCTGGAGAGGACAAAGTTTTAAGGAATCTCAGAACACCAAAACCTCATCTTGGCTCTGCCTTCACATTATTGTTTCTTTGGGTAAGTCATTTAACTTATTTAGACTTCACTTTTTTTTGTATAAGTGGTATAATACTTAACGTTTCTTTTGCAAACTGAATTAGGTAGGTGAAATTCACGTAAAATAATAGGAATATAGAGTACTGTTGCTAAATAGGTCTTTATTTAGGCCATTGAATTTAGGCCACTTACCTTACAGAGCAGAATTGTGGGATACAAAGACTACACAGCTGGTGATTATTGATATCATTCATTTATATTAGGTTAGTATTGAGGCTTAGTTAACTATGCCAGGCACTACCCTGTGATTTATTATAATACATGTATTAACTCATTTAATAGTCTAGGATTATTCCCAGAGGTAGGTAAAATTATCCCAATTTTACTGATGAGACAATTGAGGCAAAATTAAGTTAAATAATTTGCCTAGGTGGGTTGAGTTCTTGAGCCTGTGCTTTAAAAAAAATTTTTTTTGAGAAAGGGTCTCACTCTGTCACCCAGGGTGGAGTGAGTGGCGTGATCTTGGCTCACTGCAGCCTCTGCCTTCAAGGCTCAAGTCATACTCCTGCCTCATCCCCCTAAGTAGCTGGGACTACAGGTGTGTGCCACCACACCTGGCTAATTTTTTTGTGTATTTTATAGAGATGGGGTTTTGCCACTGGACTCAAGTGGTTTGCCTTGGCCTCCCAAAATGCTGGGATTACAGGTGTGAGCCACTGCGTCCGGCCTAAGCCTGTGCTCTTTTTTTGTTATACTGCCTAGTTATGTGAAAATACGTAAAGACTTTTAGGCAAATGTTAAGATTTTATAATAATCTGTTAGAGAGTTTTTGAAGTAAAAATTTTGGTATTTTGAACCAAAATTAGGAGAAGAGTCTCATTTGTTTTGACCATGATGATTCTGGAAAAGATTGATGTTAATATTTATTACTTGGGCTTTATTCCCTTAATTTTCTCCTAAAATGACTAGGATGTAAGCACTAGGTAGTTTTCTTTAAGAATATATATATATATTTTAATATTAAAGGATTTTGTGACTAATTTACAAATATTGTTTAATTTTTAGGCGAAATGTTAATGGAAGGGAGTTTTCAAACTTGGAGGCAGATGAGACCAAAGTTTAGTGTTCTTGCTTCGGTGGTTTAAGCAGCATCTATTTGGTCTTGGTATTAGAGCAATAATTAAGACTCTATCATATGTATGGTTGAAAATTATTTTTATTAAGGTATGTTTGAGTATGGTTCTGTGAGGTTGGGAAACACATGTAGTTTTGCAAGCACCATGATCAAGATACAGAGTAGTTCCTCAAAAAATTTCCTCATGACCCTTTCTATAGTCAGCCCATTTCCTCACCTCTAGTCTCTGGCAACCACTGATCTGTTTTTTCTCTGTTGTATTGTCTTTTTTTCAGAATTTCCATGTAAACAAAATCATGCAGTATTTAGCCTTTTTGTTTTAATTTTTGTTTGTTTGATAGAAATGGGAGGTCTTGTTATATTGCCTATGCTGGCCGCAAGCTCCTGGTCTCAAGGGATCCTCCTGCTTGACTCAGTATGTGACTTCTTGAGACTGACATCTTTTATTTAACCTAATGTATTTTGAGATTCATCCATGTTTTTATGTATCAGTAATTACTTTCTGTTGTTTAGGAGCATTCCATTGTATGGATGTACAACAACTTGTGTGTTCATTCCCCAGTTCATTTGGGTTGTTTCCAGTTTTTGGTAATTACAAATAAAAGTGCCATAAAAGCATTGATGCATGCATACATACACATGTGCCCATGTATTTTTTTTATGGTTTAAAAAAATATGGTGCCTAGAACTTTTATAACTTTATTAGAGAACCTGAAAAAGCTGGTGATTTTCACAGAACATTATAAATTGCTTGGTAAACTACCCTAAAAAAGCCCACTCTGGAATGAGAAGAATCTGTTTGTATAAATAATCTTATAATATAAACTGTAAGTCATTAGAATTTTTTTAAATTAAAGAAGTACACACACATACTTGTTAAATGGGTAAATTTATATATAAAACTCCTTAGTGCATAATTTCATATTTTATGTTTTTAGTAGCTTTTAAATTGTCAATCATTGACTTTTTTGTTCCTCTAAGTAGTAGAATGGTTATATAATTGGTTATGAAAGTTTTTTTTTTTTTTTTTTTGAGACGGAGTCTCGCTCTGTCGCCCAGGCTGGAGTGCAGTGGCGCGATCTCCTGTCTCAGCCTCCTGAGTACCTGGGACTACAGGCGCCCACCACCACGCCTGGCTAATTTTTTTGTATTTTTAGTAGAGATGGGGTTTCACGATATTGGCCAGGCTGGTCTTGAACTCCTGACCTTGTGATCCGCCTGTCTTGGCCTCCCAAAGTGCTGGGATTACAGGCGTGAGTCACCGTGCCTGGCTGGTTATGAAAGTTTATAAGTAAAAAATAACTGGGAAAAATTTTAGCACTACAGAATTCCTTTTTCTTCTCCTCTCCTCCCCTCTCCTCCCCCAAGATGGCTGGAGGTATTAATATTGATAAGCAGAGTTTCATGTGAATAAGACATAAAACTTAGGTTGATTACCTATGTTAATAAATTATCTTCTTTGTTCCTATGTAGTGAGCTTTCTTTTTGCAGCAATCTGAGGCCAAGAGAAATAGATGAGACCTTTTTACCTTAGAAAAGAGATTGCAGGCTGGATGTGGTGGCTCACGCCTGGAATCCTAGCACTTTGGGAGGCCGAGGAGGGCAGATCACTTGAGGTCAGGAGTTCGAGGCCACCGCCTAGGCAACATGGTGAAATCTTGTCTCTACTAAAAACACAAAAATTATCTGGGCGTAATGGCATGTGCCTTGTAATCCCAGCTACTTGGAGGGTGAGGCATGAGAATCACTTGAACCCAGGAGGCGGAGGCTGTAGTGAGCCAAGATTGTGCCAGTCCACTCCAGCTTGGGTGACAGAATGAGACTCCATCTCAAAAAAATAAAATAAAAATAAAAAAGAAAAGAGTTTGCAGGCCATTTTTGCAAGTTAATTTTTTGAGGTTCCAGTTCCAACCCTGAGTCAGACTACAGAGGCCATAGGTGGTTTGACGTTTCAGAGAATAGCAGTGTTTTTGATTTTCTTTTTTTCTTTTTCTTTCTTTTTTTTTTTTTTTTTTGAGACAGGGTCTTACTGTCATCCAGGCTGGAGTGCAGTGGTGCAGTCATGGCTCACTGCAGCCTCAACCTCCTGGGCTCAGGTGATCCTCCCAACTTAGCCTCCCGGGTGCTGGGACTGTAGGAACATGCCAACATGCCTGGCTAATTTTTGTGGTTTTTTTTGCATGTACGTAGAGATGGGGTTGCGTCATGTTGCCCATCTTGAATTCCTGGGCTCGAGAGATCCGCCTGCCTCAGCCTCCCAATGTGCTGGGATCACAGGTGTGAGCCACCTTGCCCAGCCATTTCTTTTGTGTAGTATGGAATCTTAGTTTAAGCCCTCAGTTTAAATGTATTATATAATTGAGGTGCTAGGTGTACAGAGGTACTAGAACTACAGAGCTTTTCTCATTAATGTATGTTCCTTCTGATGTTGAATATTTAGAAAACTGAATATTGTGTTTGGAGCCAAGGGATATTACACTTGAAATATGGTCATTTGGTGAACAGGTATCTCATTTGTAGGCTATCATTATTTTTGGTGAACAGGTATCTCATATGTAGGCTATCATTAATTTTGGCAGTTTCACATTAAAATACCTGCCTGGAAATACCTGCCCAGTTTTGCCAGTAATGGGAATTGCAGGTTAACCGTTGGTCTTCTATATGTGGCTCTATGATGTGGACAAGACTTATAGCTCTTTACTTTAACTGAGACAACAATGTTGGTGATCCAAGTCTAGAATTCCAGGATAGGGTTGCCAAAATTAACACCGTGGGAGTATGGAGGTAGCAACTGTGGGATTAGTAATACAAATACAATTTTAATTAGCTTTATCAGTTGCACACTTAATCTTCATTGCTACCTTGTGAAGTAGGCACGGCAGGCTGTATATTGTTACTTCTACTTTACAAGTAAGTAAATTGTGTTTCATAGCTGTCAGGACTTACCTGAGGTTGCACTGCTAGTGAGTAGCTGAAATAGTACTTGAGTCCAGACATCAGGTTGGATGCTGTTTCCACTTTTGCAGTTCACTGTCGTGAATAAGAGCTCAGGCTTGGGTTTGAATTGTGGTTCTACCACTTACCTGTCTGTGATCTTGGGGAAGTTCTTTAACTTCTCTGAGTCTCAGGTTTAAAATGGGGCTAACAATAATACCTCTTAGGGCTCTTGTGAGATTTCAGCAAGTGCTTATAATATTAGATAACCAATAGTAAGCACTCAGTATTTGCTAATTGTGGTTGTTTCTACTGTTATTAAAGTGATAACAACACTACAGTTACACATCCTCTTTCCCCTAAGGATCTGTGTTAAGAGTTGAAAGACAATAAATGTAAGAAGCAAAAATATTCAAAGATGATAGAATAAGTAGCAAGGGGAGTTGATTTTAGCAGGAAGATGGACAATGTTCAGAGGGGTATGTGTGTGTGTTGTGTGTGTGTGTGTGTGTGTCTTGGTTTTAAACATGGTAGCAGTTAGACAATGAAGTTACAAGTGTGTTAGACAGTTGGAGCTTTAGGACAGGGTTGAGTAGGAGGACCAGTGTTGGAGGAAAACTTTTTAATCACCATCACAGATGGCATATGGAAATTTACATTTCTACCAAGATTTAAACATACCAATTTGCTATCCTCTGTTATGGTTCTTAGAGCTATTGTTACATCAGAATGGAGTAAGAAGCTTATCATACATTTTTCATTTTTAGTGGTTATACAGAGAACAATACAGAAAGTCAGCATATATCCTACTACAGTTTATCCTTGGTATACTTGGGGGATGGGTTCCAGGACCCCCACATACACCAACATCTGGGCATACTTAAGTCCCCCAGATGCCCCTGTGGAACCTGCCTATATGAAAAGCTAGCCCTTGGCCTGCTGTATATATAGGTTTCACATCCCGAGAATACTTTTTCCATCCACATTTGGTTAAAAGAAATCCGCACATGAGTGGACCTGTGCAGTTCAAACCCCTGTTGTTCGAAGGACAACTGTGTAAATAAAAGGGTGGTCCCTCTCCTTAAAATTTCATAGTTGATACTTGTATCATAGTTGATATATAGTAGTTGATACTATGAAAATTTCATAGTTGATAAAGTTTCATAGTTGAGCCCTTTTACCATGTGTGTAAGTCTTAAGGGCTAGGGAATTCAGAAGTATAAGTTACAGGGTTGTATCTTTTGGTGCTTGAGTCCTTTCCTTTGGATAAGGTACTTCCTTGATGTAAGGTAATGTTCTTTCAAGCATTTTAAATTAAATGAAGTTGTTTGAATTTACTTGTTGGGGAATATCTTGCCTTTAATATAATAGCTGCTATGTGGAATTATGTATTTTATGTATTCGGTGTTTTTGAACTTGCATCTTTTATTACTGTATTTTTACAGCTTTCCCCATTTTTGATATTAAAACAATTTTATGGGGTTTTGGTGCATATTTTAAATTTGTGCACTAAACACTTGCAAAAGCATATTTTAAATTATGGCAAGTTTCCTAAACCTGTTAACCTTTTATATATTAGCTGTTACATATTAACTTTTTTCAAAGTCATTATATATCCTTCTACTGACAAATGTCAAACAAGTTCTGAGCATCTGAAAGTCTAGATTCATCCAGAGTTTGCTCAGGATGGCATTTTTTTTGTTTTTCTTTTGAGGTGGGGTTCTCATTGTGTTTTCTACGCTGGCCTTTAACTCCTTGGATCAAGCAGTCCTCCTGTGTCAGCCTGCCAGGTAACCGGGACTAGGTGTGTACCACTGTGCCAGGCTTGTTTTCAAAGTTCATAGGAAAAACTTTGGTGTCTTCTAAAGAGACCAGTACTGTACACAAATATATTTGTCTCACATTTATCCATCCATCCGTCTGTCTGTCTGTCTGTCTGTCTGTCTGTCTGTCTGTCTGTCTATCTATCTATCTATCTATCTATCTATCTATCTATCTATCTATCTGTCTATCTATCTATCTATGACGGAGTCTTGCTTTGTTGCCCAGGCTGGAGTGCAGTGGTGCGATCTTGGCTCACTGCAATCTCCTCCCGGGTTCAAGCAATTCTCCTGCCTCAGCCTCCCTAGTAGCTGGGATTACAGGCGTGTGCCACCATACCTGGCTAATTTTTTTTTTTTGTATTTTTAATAGAGACGGAGTTTCACCATGTTGGCCAGGCTGGTCTCCAACTCCTGACCTCAAGTGTTCCATCTCCCTCGGCCTCCCGAAGTGCTGGGATTATAGGGATGAACCACCGTGCCTGGCCTGTCTCACTTTTTATACCCCGAAAGCATTATTACTATCCATTACTTTATTCAGAGCTAGGAGCTTTTTCATTCCTGTACTGTGGAACTACTTGAGTTGCCCTATATCTACTCCCCCTTTCCCCATTCTGAACATTGTTTCACCTTATAAAAATTAAAAATTTGGCTGGTGTGGTGGCTCATGCCTGTATCCCAGCACTTTGGGAGACAGAGGCAGATGGATCACTTGAGGCCAGGAGTTCGAGACCAGCCTGGCCAACATGGTGAAACCCCGTCTCTACTAAAAACACAAAAATTAGCCGGGCATGGTGGCGTGCATCTGTAATCCCAGCTACTCGGGAGGCCGAGGCAGGAGAATTGCTTAAACCAGGAGACGGAGGTTGCAGTGAGCTGAGATTGCGCCACTGCACTCCAGCCCAGGTGACAGAGTGAGACTCGGTCTCAAACAAACAAAATCCAAAAACATCCTAAAAATTACAAAATTTGGCCAGGCGTGATGGGTCACACCTGTAATCCCAGCACTTTGGGAGGCCAAGGCGGGTGGATCACGAGGTCAGGAGATCGAGACCATCCTGGCTAACAGAATGAAACCCCGTCCCTACTAAAAAAATACAAAAAATTAGCCGGGCGTCGTCGTGGGCGCCTGTAGTCCCAGCTACTTGGGAGGCTGAGGCAGGAGAATGGTGTGAACCCGGGAGGCAGAGCTTGCAGTGAGCCGAGATAGCACCACTGCACTCCAGCTGGGTGACAGAGCAAGACTCTGTCTTAAAAAAAAAAATTACAAACTTTTTTATTGATGGGTTCCTCTAAAACCCATTACTAAAGCTACTTACTAAAGAGTAGATGTTTTCCCCCTTCACCGATAGTTGATGGACCGTCAGAGAATCCTTGAGTATCTCAAGCTTTTACTTAACTTCAGAGTTCTTACCTGAGACAGAAAAGTTGAGTTTTCTTTCCTCAAGGGCATAAAAAATTTTAAATGTACCCATTTGCATAAAATCTACTCAAAGAAAATTATCAAGTGATTTTACAGGATATTTTTGGATGCTTGCACATAAGAGAATCTTTTAACAAAACTGCTTAACCTCCTTTGTATTATTCATTCCCTCTCTTACTAAAACAAGTGAATGGCTTGCTTGGATGTGTATCTGTATCTTTTTTTTTGATACACACTTTGAAGGAGTCTTCTGAAATGCAGTGTTTTGGCCACCATTCCAGCTCTACAGGAATATGGTTTCATGATAAAGCCAACAAAGAGCACACTGGCAGCAGTCCAGCAGCTGACTCACCAAGGAGTAATGATAGACACTTTGAAAGGAGTGACCTGTCTCAGGATCTCACATTTCAAAGCTTCGTGCTATGATTACATTGGTAGAAGGCAGCCAAGAAATCTAGATGAGATCTTGCTTGTACCTCCTAAGAGTAATGGTATATAGGTAGGAAGGACTTCCACAGTCGGATGCAAGTAAGATTTTTTTTCCTAACAACCTTGTAAAACCTGGGGGTGGGAAACAAGTTGAGGATTCAGAATGGGAGTAACCGTGGTGGAAGCTTTCCTTCTACGGACCTGGATGAGAACAGCCTTATAGTGACTGAGGGTAACTCAAGAAGCTCAATGCCATATTAGTTTTCTAGAGCTAAGGGAATATACATAGTTTAGTAGTAAGCACAAGTATCGTGTTCATGTCAGACACTGTAGCTACTGCTTCCTGCTAGAACAGACCAGAAGAAACCAAAGCAAGACCAGAATCATTTCAGTTTTGAGGAACAGACCCTTTCCTTACTAGCATTGCACACTTTAGGAGTAAAAATAGAATGAAAGTGGATTTGCTTCAGTACTCTGAAATAGTTAACTGTTGATTGTTTTGGTGGATTAGAGTGATTGCAGCTCTGTTTCTAAATTGAATTTCATGGCTATACGTTGTTCTAGGTGGCAAATTAATCTTTTATCAGTACCACAAATTGATTGTTGGCCCTTTGCGGAAATAGCAGGAATATGTCTTTTTCATTTTGTTGAAGGGTAGCTCAGAGATAAAACATTTACATAATCTGAAAATATTTTTCAGAGATAAGACTAAGTGACTGTGTATACCACAGTGATAGATTGATCCACTTTGATTATTGTAGAACTTTCTATTTCTCAGTAAAAAGTGCTAAACATGGTAAAATTATGAAGGATTGCTTTTAGCTATTTGCTGTATTCTTTAAAGCATATTTAGGAATAAAAAGTTAATTTCCAAAGTGCTGTCATTTATTTAATACATGTTTTCTCCAGAATGTGCTTCCCAAAAGTTAAGAGTGCTTTTATTTATTTAAGAAATATGTTAATTTTTCTTTTCTTTTCTTTTCTTTTTTTTTTTTTGAGACAAATTCTCACTCTGTTGCCCAGGCTGGAGTGCAGTGGCACAGTCTACTGCAGCCTCGACCTTCCAGGCTCCCACGACCTTCCCAGGCCCAAGCCATCCTCCCAATTTAGCCTCCACCATGCTCAGCTGAGTTTTTATTTCTTGTAGAGACTGAGTATTGCCGTATTGCCCAGACTAGTCTCAAACTCCTGGGCTTACTGTGCCTGGCCCACAAGAAATATGTTACTTTTTTTGAGATTTTTGTATAATTTGAGAACACAGATTATTTGCCCTACTCCCCCAACCCCCAGTGATACAGACCTGGTTTCATTGCACTGAGAGAAAAAAATTAGTTTCTTAATTTACGTTGCGTTTCTGCCTTTTTGAGATTGAGTGCTTTGACTTTTCTCTTGTTTTTGTATTTGCTGTATATGTGTTGTTCCTACTTAATTTCTTATATGGTTTAAACTTGCATCTGTAAATTATTTATTAGCTAGCTTTATGACTTGGGCAAGTTACCTTATCTCTCTGCTCCTTAGTTTCCCTCTTTATAAAATGAGGATAATAATATTACCTACTTTGTAGAGTTGAGTAAGATTAATGACTAATAAATGGTGAAGCACTTAAAAGAGGGCTCTATACATGTTGGCTGTTAAAATTATAAGCGAGGACCTGGACTTCTCCCCTCCATTAATTGTAACTCTTCATTTTTATAATTTTTTCATAAATAGTATGTCTCTCAGCATATAACAGAACTTTGTATTAAGGAATAATAAATATCACCATATATGTAATTCTTTATTATAAACATAAATTTGCTTCTTGTTAAAAACAGAGTATCATTTTCTTGCCTCAGATCGAGCTTGAAAGAAATTAGTAGAAAGTGGGCCCTTTTGGCCGGGTGCGGTGGCTCACGCCTGTAATCCCAGCACTTTGGGAGGCCGAGGCGGGCGGATCATGAGATGAGGAGACCGAGACCATCCTGGCTAACACGGTGAAACCCCGTCTCTACTAAAAAATACAAAAAAATTAGCCGGGCATGGTGGTGGGTGCCTGTAGTCCCCACTACTCGCTACTCGGGAGGCTGAGGCAGGAGAATGGCGTGAACCCAGGAGGCGGAGCTTGCAGTGAGCCGAGATTGTGCCACTGCACTCCAGCCTGGGTGACAGAACGAGACTCCATCTCAAAAAAAAAAAAGAAAGTGGGCCCTTTTCTGTGTTTTATAGGTACCCACACACCACTGAATGTAGGTCATCGTTTAAAATCTGAGTGTACATCCAAATCCAGTGCAGTTATGTAGAACAAAACAGTTTGTATGGAACTAGAAGTGTTACTGGAAAGGTAAATACTGTAGTTGGTAGTAAACTGATCAGTTAAAGTGATGGATCAGCAAAGATTTGGGGGTTGCTGGTTTTTATTTAACACTCAGTTGTTTCAGAGTGATTACTCCTGAAACAAAGTTATTTCGAACATAGATGTGTTAAGAAATTTCATATTCCTTTCCACTTAAACCTCTTGAGAAAGGAAGCATTTCTTCAGGGAGAGTTAGCTATGTGAGTGCTACATGAATTTTAGTCATTACTGTGGCGACTATATGATAACCAAAAGTAGGAGTCTCACACTTTAGTTTCAAATTTGTGCTGTTATTGAGTAAATTTTTAAAATGAGATTGCCCTCTTTCTTGCTAAACTGTCATATATATAAGCCCATTAAATTGACTTTTATGCCTCTTTTCCTTTTTTTTTTTTTTAACCTGTTAAGACTTTTTTTTTCTTTCTCATATTTACCCCTGCCTAAGCAAGGCCTCAACTCTCCACGGAAATCTTTAGTAAAAGGCAAAAAGATTTATTCATTATGAAGAGAAACCAGAGCATGTGTGACAGGACTTTCTGTAATTATAAGTTAGTGGTTCAGTGCCAGGGGTTAGATTTTCTTAACTTTTATGTTTAGTAGGATTATTGATAATTCCTAAGTTGTATCCTTAAATCATATTTTTTGAACATTAGGGATCTGCGTCCAACACTTAATTATACTAGTAAAAGGAATAGAACATGCACTGGATTTCTTGTTTTTGAGATTCTTTCATTCCTGCCCTACCCCAGGCAGGAGGTCTGTCTGCAGTGGAAGAGAATGAAACCAGAATGAGGCCAAACAAGTAAAGAGGAGCATGAGATAGAGATGGATCCCATGGCACTGTGCCTTTGAGGCCCTGGTCCTGAAGTTTTTTTCCTTGTTTCTACGCAGCATCTCATTATCCTGTGAGCCATTAAATTCTGATTTTTGGGCTGGGTGTGGTGGCTCGCACCTGTAATCACAGCACTTTGGGAGGCTGAGGCAAGACGATTGCTTGAGCCCAGGAGTTGGAGACCAGCCTGGGCAACGTAGGGAGACTTGTCTCTACAAAAAATAAAAAAATTAGCCAGGTGTGGTAGCACACGCCTGTGGTCCCAACTACTTGGGATGCTGACATGGGAGGGTCCCTTGAGTCTGGAAGGTCAAGGTTGCAGTGAGCCATGATCACGATACTGCAGTCCAGCCTGGGTGACAGAGTGAGACTGTGTCTCAAAAAATTTTTTTTTAATTTTGTGTAAAATAGCTTGATTTGGGTTTTTTTTTTTTTACTTACAACTGAGAATTTTGACCAGTATATTTAATGTTAGTCTGACCATTTCTCCAGTGGGCTTTCTACGTATTTAAAAAATAGTTTGGACTTTAATCTCAGGGTAAACAATATATATAGGTACACTCAGTTTATATATGAGATAATATTCAGGATCAGTGGAGTGAAAATAGTAAAGTATCTTCCATTTTTCAATGGCTTAGAGGGAAAAGTGTTCATAATGGGTATAGAATTAATCAGTATTCCTTTCCCATTATTTATGCCTATACAGTGTAGAAGTTTCCCTTAAAGAGCTTATCACCATAATAAGTACAATAGCAAAGATATAAAGTCAGTACTTTTCACTGATTAGGCATAAATATCCTCTTTATTGTTTTCTTACAAAGTAGCTATGATAAACATATAAAAGGGTCAGAAAGAGAGGGGAGAAAAACTCGGTGAAAAGTCAGACAAGAGGAAATGAAGAGGTGAGGTATGTATAGTAAGCATTAGTGAACTTGTAGTAATTGCTTTAGGTTTCATGGATTGCCCACTTGTGGATTAAATGTTAGACTTCTGCAAAATGAGTTGATGGTAGAGATGAAGAAAAGTCTTAATTTGTTTTTTTTATGCTAAGGTTAAAGTTGATGTGGCTAATTAGGTATTAAGATCAGTTTTCCTGTCTTTTTATTATTTATTTATGTTTATGAATGAATGAATGAAGAAATGAATGACAAAGTCTCGCTTTGTCACCCAGGCTGGAGTGCAGTGGCATGATCATAGCACACTGCTGCCTCAAACTCCTGGGCTCAAAGGATCCTCCTGCCTCCCAAGTAGCTGGGATTACAGGTGTGCGCTACCATGCCTGGCTAATTTTAAAATTTTTAGTAGAGATGGGTTCTCGCTATGTTGCCCAGGCTTATCTAGAACTCAAGCGATCCTCCTGTGTCAGCCTCCCAAAGTGCTAGGAGGATTGCAGGCATGGGCCACCAAACCTGGCCTTGTCTTGCTTTTTAATAAGCTGTTGTCATTATGTTGCCTTTCAAAGTCCAGTTCTTCTTTACCACCCCATTTGCCTGGAGGTAATGCATTAGGTGAGAATGAAAGGTGAGTACCTAAAAGATTCAGAATTGGAAGGCCTTAATAGGATCAATGTGTAGGAGCTGCAGAGAATATGAAGGACTTTTAAATATTCCAGTCCCAAAATAAACTTGACCATTGGCCAAGATTGTGGTAAGCTAAGTATTTGAGATGTCTGTGCTACATCATCCAACTCTTGGCCTGAACTGTTTTAGCTGGCTTGCCTATGTAAATTGAAACTTCCTTTAATACTTAACTGTGAGTTAAACATAGTTCTGGAGCTCCATCGAAAGGGTCTTAGTCAGCCAGGCACAGTGGCTTACACCTGTAATCCCAGCATTCTGGGAAGCCGAGGCGAGAGAATCACTTGTGAGGCCTGGAGTTTGAGACCAGCCTGGGCAACATTGCAAGACCCCCTCTACAAAATAATAATAATAATTATTATCCAGCTGTGGTGGTGCTCACCTATAGTCCCAGCTACTCAGGAAGCTGAGGTAGGAGAGTTGCTTGAGCCCAGGACATCAAGACAGCAGTGAGCCATGATTGCACCACTGCACTCTAGCCTGGGTAACAGCGAGACTCCCATCTCAAAACAAAAACAGAAACAAAGGGTCTTAGTTATACAGATCTTCTTAATCATTCCTAAAGCGTACATTCCAAGTTTATATTTACAGTAAAGTGATCTATATCCCAAAACATGTTTCCACTGGTTACTAATTTGGGGCAAGTCATTAACTTCTCAGAGCCTTCTGTAACTAAGATTTAGGGAAAATACTGGTCTTAACCAGAGCACATATGTATACCTTTGACTCTTTTTGCTGCCACATGGTTAAAAAATCAGCCTTAGAGAGGTATAATTTGCACAAATTTTGCCTTTTTTCTAGGATGTAATATAAATGAAATCATACAGGATATACTATTTTGTGCCTGTCCTCTTTCATTTTAGTATAATGCTTTGAGAATCATTCATATTGTTAAAAGCAGTAGTTGTTCCATTTAATTGCTAAGTAGTAGTCCATTGTATGGATATTCCACAATTCCTTTATTTACTAGTTAATGGATATTGGGGTTTTTTTTTTTTCCAGGTTTTGGGTTTATTTATTTATTTATTTGAGACGGAGTCTCGCTCTGTCGCCCAGGCTGGAGTGCGGTGGCGAGATCTCGGCTAACTGCAACCTCCGCCTCCTGGGTTAAAGCTATTCTCCTGCCTCAGCCTGCTGAGGAGCTGGGACTACAGGCTCATGCCACCGCACTCGGCTAATTTTTTGTATTTTTAGTAGAGACGGAGTTTCACCTTGTTAGCCGGGTTGGTCTGATCTCTTGAGCTCGTGATCCGCCCACCTCAACCTCCCAAAGTGCTGGGATTACAGGCATGAGCCACCACGCCCGGCCCAGTTTTTGGCTATTACGAATAAATCTCCTCTGAATATTTGCAACATAGATCTTTGTGTGGACATATATTTTCATTTCTCTTGGTTAAAAATCCAGGAGTAGAAATTGCAGGATTGTAGGGTAAGTGTGTTTATAGTTTTTAAAGTAACGGCCTATTTTGCATTCCCACTGGCAATGCATGAGAATTCCAGGGCTCCAAATCCTTGTTGATGCTTGGTATTGTCATTCTTACTAACTTAAGTCATTCTAGTGGGTCTGTAGCAATACATCATCATGGTTTTAGTTTGTAATTTCCAGATGACTAATGATGATTATCTTTTCATGTGCTTATTTGCCATTTATATGTCTTTGGTGAAGTGTCTGTTCAAATCTTTTGCTCATTAAAATAGGTTGTTTTTTGTTTATTGTGAGTTCATAATGTATTCTGAATATGAGTCCTTCATAACAGGTTTTGTAAATTACATGTTTTGCAAATATGTTCTTGTAATTTGTGGCTTGCCTTTTCATTCTTAACAGTGTCTTTCAGAGAGCAAAAACTTAATCTTTATGTAGTCAGTTATTTTTTTTTTCTTTTTGAGTTAATGATCTTTTTAAAAGCCTATCTAAGGAATTGTCTCTAAACCTAAGGTCACTAATATTTTCTTAAATTTTATTCTGGAAGTTTATAGCTTTGTTTGACATTTGGGTCTGTGAAACACTTCAAATTAATACTGAGAGAAGTAAGTGTAGGGTTGCCTTTTTGTATATACTGTGAATATCTGAGTTTTCCTCTGAGCAGTGCTTCAGTTGCAGCTCACAAAATGACATATTGTGTACTACTATTCAGTTTGAATATTTTCTAATTTCTCTTTTAATGTCTTTTTTGGCCTATGAATTATAAAAGTTTGATGTTTAACTTCCTGTAGATATTTTACTGTTACTAATTTAATTCCATTGTGGTCAGAGAACATACTCTATAGGATTTCAGTCTTTTTCAGGATTTCAGAATTTGAGATTTGTTTTGTGGTAAGGCATATGGTCTATTGTGGTGAATGTTTTGTGTCTTTGAAAAGACAAATATTTGGTTCTACCAGTTCTGTCTCATATATTTTGAAGTTCTGTTTTTAGGTACATACATATTTAGGATTGTTATGTCTTCTCAGTAAATTCATTCTTTTATAATGACTTGTCCCACTTTATTTTGATAATATTTGCCATCCCCCAGGCTACTTTAACATGAATATAACTCTTGTAGCTTTATTACCACAGTATTTGCATAATTTTTTCCCATCCTTTTACTTTTAGTCTGTGTATATATTTGCAATGCATTTCTTGTGATTAGCACATAGTTAGGTCTCGCTTTTTTATTTAGGCTGACGGTCTCCTTCATTCATTCATTTGTTCATTCATTGAGATGGAGTCTCGCTCTGCCACCCAGGCTGGAGTGCAGTGATGCCATCTTGGCTCACTGCAACCTCAGCCTCCCGGGTTCAAGTGATTCTCCTGCCTCAGCCTCCTGAGGAGCTGGGATTACAGGCGCCTGCCACCATGCCCGGCTAATTTTTGTATATTTTATGTTTTGTATATTTACCCCTGTGTTGGCAAAGCTGGTCTCAAACTCCTGACTTTAGGTGATCCACCCGCCTTGGCCTCCTAAAGTGCTGGGATTACAGGTGTGAGCCACTGCGCCCGGCTGACAGTCTCCTTTTAATTGTTGTTATTAAATGATGGGTTTACTCTGAGTTTGAGTATCCATATGGTTAGGTTTCAGTCTACCATTTTGCCATTTGTTTTCTATTCATCCCGTCTATTCTTTTCTGTCATTTTTTGAATGAAAGATTTTGTAATATTTCATCTTATCCCCTCTTTTAGTGGAGATATACTTATTTGTTCTATTTTTCTCTGTGGCTGCTCTATAGTAGATACCTTTAACTTACGACATTCTGCCTTCAAATTATATACCACTTAATGTATAAGAATCCTATGGCGTTATGTCTCCATTTTCCTATCTTCTGTTCTTTTTGCTATTGTCATACATTTTACTTTTGGATATGTTAGAAAATCCATAATTCAACGTTAGGCTTGTTTTTATTTAAAGCTTTGTTCATCTGGGCCTGTAGAGGAGCCTTTGCCCTCGGGCTAGTTGAGCTGTGTTTATAAAGGTTTCAGCTGAATGGCCTGAGTTTAGTAAGGTCTCTTTAATCAGTCAGAAGGAGAATGCCTGTGTAAACTCTGGTAGTTGTGTTTATAGTTCCCAAGTAGTTGCTTGTTACCCAGTGGTTGTTCTTTGCCTACCCTCGTGAAATCTCACCTAATACATGTGCAGCTAATTTAGTAAAGATGTAGTAGTGCCTCACAAATTACAGCTGCTTCAGCCTTCGGAGACACATTTAAGTTTCTGATTGGGTTTCCACCCTCCCTAGATTCTCAGTTTCTCCCTTTCTGGCTGGGGTCTGGAAACTGCCTCAAAATACAAAGCTTTGACAATCATAAGGCACAGGTAATTTGCTTGTCTTCTCTCAGGGATCACAGTTCGGTGCTATTGTTCAGCATCCAAGAATAGCTGTTTCATGTATCTTGTCCAGTTTTTTAGTAGTTTTGGTGGAAGGGCTAGTCTCAAGTTACTCCATCATGGTAAGACTAATTTAACTTTTTATAAATACAAGGTTTGCATGATAAAGGCTATTATAGCCTACTTCATAAATTAATACATTGCATTCTGCGGGCAGTGTTTTGCACCATTTGTCCTGGCTTAGCTGATATTCATGTTCTAATTGTTCATTACAGGATTTTGTGTAAATAAATAAATGTTTAGCCTTTGTAATGGGATTGTTAATAGTACCCTGGATCTGCTACTTTACCAATTGCTCCCTAATGCCTACAGTTGATTGCCAACACTATCTCACTGCCCCCTGTAACTGCAGTAGTTTGAGCTTTAAGATACAATGTCACTAATTATGGATTATTCTGTTCTTGTTCTACAATATCCCAATATCTTCAGCAAAGGATTCTGTATTGGCTCCCACCAGCTGGTATTTACTAGAATGTGGAAATAATTCAAACAGGAGGACTGTGCTTTTGAAAACCTGCTTTAACATTAGAAGAGGAAAAGTGATTGTAAATGGCTATTTTTCATGTAAGGGAGGGATTAAATTTTCATATCTATTGTTTAAAGAAATCTGTAGCCAAAGGTGTCTGTTTTTAGTTGGGTCATTGTTTAGGACTATAGACTTCGGTTTTGTATTCTTAGTAATATTAACCCCTTCACCTCCCCTGATAACCCAAGAAAAGATCCTTCGTATAAGATTTTAAAAATTGCACCAGAGGAGCCAAGTGGCTCATGCCTGTAGTCCCAGCTACTCACTACTTGGCAGGCTGAGGTGGGAGTATTGCTTCACCCCAGGAGTTCAAGGCCCAAGGCCAGCCTGGGCAACACAGGGAGAACGCGTCTCTTAAAAACAAACAAACAAAAAAATTGCACTGGGATTTGCATTAAAAGTTGCAATACATACCTAGTATGTTTTCTAATCATAATGTGCAATTTTAAAAAAAAGTGTAATTTTTATCTGCCTTCTAATTTGAGCCTTTATTGTTCACCAGTAGGTTTATTTCACTGGAACAAGTCTTTGTGCCATATTTGGCATCACCAAAGGAATAGTGCCAGTATTTATTGACAAATGAGGACAAATAGTTTTTCCACATTCTATTGCCATCATTGTTACTAGGTAAACAATAGAAGCTTATAAAAATATTGTGCATTTAATACCTTTTTGGTTTCCTTTTATACTTGTCAAAAGTCATTTATACATAAATTGACATACTGTGTCCATGATATGTATGGATAAGTAAGATCTTTTTGTAGCTTGAATATCTTATGAGTAAATAGCATTTCCTAACTATTAAATGGGATTTGAATAGCTGTCAAGGGATTACTTGATACAGAGAAGTTGCTAATTTATTTTGAAATTGTAAAATACATTTTCCCCTCTGAAATCACGAAATGCCTCATATTGCTAATGCAGTGAGTTTAAGTGTTTAATTTAGAAAAAATTAGTAACTGCTGGTTGCCTCATATTGCTAATGCGGTGAGTTTAAGTGTTTAATTTAGAAAAAATTAGTAACTGCTGGTGTTATTTGGCATGAGATGAACCTGGAAGGGAAGTGTTGAGGGGCATCATCTGTACTTGGCACTGTTTAGAACTTTCTTTAGAGGTGTATAGTGCTTTCTTACACTAATATTCCAGTGTATGCCTGAATAGCACTTTTCTTCTTGTACTGAAAAATAAGTCCATGGTGTTAAGCAGGCATCTCTAAAGTGGCCATCTGATTTAAAATAGCTTCCATAAGTTTTAATTAATTTTGCATGTTTTAGTTTCTCTTTTTGATAGCAGGTAGTAGCTCTCTGAAGCATTCCTTCTGCCTTGAAACATCTTTCTTTTTCATATATTTGCCGTTTTCCTTTGTGAGACTTAGGCTTATAATACAATAAATATTTAAGTGCCACCTATTTACTAGGCACTGTTAGGTTATAGGCTCTGTAGATGTAGTGGTGAACAAGATCTCCGTTGTTACTCAGTTTGTAGACTATGAAGGAAAAGGAGTAAGGGTTGGAGAATTACTCATGTATTAAATATATGTTGCTTTTTGGAGGCAAATGAATAAAATATTTAGAATGGTTAAGATAGTCTTCTGCTTTCTTTGGATTCACTAGGGGTTTTATCATAATCTGTCTCATATCATTTCATATGTTAAAAGGGAATTTTAATGAAATACGTTACTACTGGTTGTGGATTCTAAAAGGTAGAAGGACAAAATATTATTTGCCTTTAAGAATACAAAGAAAGGATTGTCTGTTTGTATGGTTAGTTGAATTGTCTTATTTCCTATTTATTTATTTTTTATTGCTGAGATCTCACTTTGTTGCTCAGGGTGATTTTTAACTCATGGCCTCAAGTGATCTCCTGCCTTGGCCTCCCAAAATGCTGGAATTACAGGCCTGAGCCATTTCACCCCAGCCTATTTCTTATTCTCCCTACAAGGGACATTTTAGTGTAAGGCAAAAATATAAAATTATCACTCATAATGTTTTTTCGGAAAATATATGACTGCATGGTTTTGTAGTTTTCTTAGCAGTCACTGGGTCATTAAGTTACCTCGTTTTTTGCTTCTTGTTCTTCCTTTTTTCTGGGGGAAAAAGTTTTCTCTAGGTCTCATCTCTCAATTCTTTAGCAAGGCATATTTTTATTCATCATACCATAACTATATACATACTTAAAAGTAAATGACATTTTGTCTTACCATGGATTTCTCACGTATCTGGTGAAGTGGTTTAAACTGTCCAATTTTATGTGCATTGAAAGCAAAAGCTAGCTGAGAAAGGAAAGCTTTTCTCATCAAAGAGGTTGAAATTACTGTCGTAAAACAGTGATAAATACCAGATAAGATATGTGATCCTTGAAGTTTAATAAATATTTTTGGACTGTTAATTTATATTCACTTTTGGGCATGTTTTTTTTGAGACATGGTCTCTATAGCCCAGGATGGAGTGCAGTCATGTAATCATGGCTCATTGCAGCCTCAGCCTCCTGGGCTCAAGCGATCTTCCCACTTCAGCCTCCTCAGTAGCTAAGACTACAGGCATGTGCCACCATGCCTAGCTAATAAAAAAAAAAAAAGTTTTGTAGAGATGGAGTCTCACTGTATTGCTCAGGCTAGTCTTGAACTCCTGAGCTCAAGCAGTCCTCCTGCCTCACCTTCCCATAGTGTTGGGATTAGAGGCATGAGCCACTGCACCCAGCCTGGTTTTAATCTTTAGGAAATATTTTTCTAGGTTAAACTCAACACAGTATAAGTATTTTTACATGTATTTCAGAATCTAAATTTATTAGGATACTGGCTGATGACTTACATGCTTTTATTATTAAGATTTAGGTTCCCAGCACTTTGGGAGGCTGAGGCGGGCAGATCATGAGGTCAAGAGATCGAGACCATCCTGGCCAACATGGTGAAACCCTGTCTTTACTAAAAATATGAAAATTAGCTGGGCATGTTGGCACGTGCCTGTAGTCCCAGCTACTCGGGAGGCTGAGGCAGGAGAATCGCTTGAACCTGGGAGGCAGAGGTTGCAGTTAGCTGAGATCGCGCCACTGCACTGCAGCCTGGGCGACAGAGCAAGACTCTGTCTCAAAAAAAAAAACAAAAAACCCAAAAAAAATTAGGCAATTTGCTTTAAAAATTAGATAACTCATGAACTCGTTGGTTATTCCTTATTAGCTAAAAAAAATTATTAGACCACTGTATATTATGCTAATTAAATGACTCATTTCTGCTAGTTAAACCATCTGTAATAGGCTACAGAACACATTTTGCTGGAGTATGTAAAACTAAGCCCACCAGGAAACTTATGGCTAAAATTAAACAGAATCCTGCTAACCTTGTGTGTGTATTCAATTTTGGTACCTGAAAGAATTTGTGGTATTTAGAATATTTGAATGTTATGTTATATTTGTTTGGATGTTCATATTTTATATTTACATGACAAAAAGGATATGGTTGCTATTTAAACTTTTTGGATGGTAGGAAAATAATCTTAGGCACAGGAAATCATGACAAGACCAGTGTTGTAGAACTATTATGGATAAAGCTTTTTTTTTAACTTTATGTATAAGTAATTCTCTAGAGCAGAAATTACTCAAGCTTTCAGTGTATAAATTGCATGTGGACTAAAGATTGATACTGACCAAATATAAAAGATTGATACTGACCAAATATAAAAGATTTTGCTGCTTCTCCTAATTTTCTTGTACCTTTTGATATTCTTTGAAGATACCTAATGGTTATTTAATTTCTTCAGGTTTTACTAAATTTTGTTCATTCTAAAGACTTTTAAAAAGCTTACACATCTAATATGTCAGAGCTATGACAAAAATGCCAGGTTTTTTTTAGGGGGTGGTGGGGGTGGCGGGGGTGGTCCTGTAATAATGCTACAGTATCTTGATGGACATCCTGTTAATACTTTGGGGAATGTGTTTGTTTTGTATTGCTGTGAAGGAATACCCAAGGCTGGGTAGTTTATAAAGAAAATAGTTTTATTTGGCTCAAAGTTCTGCAGGCTGTACAAGAAGCATGGCACCAGTATCTGCTTCTAGTGGGGCCTCAGGAAGCTTCCAGTCACGTTGGAAGGTGAAGGGGGAACAGGCGTGTCATGTGGCGAGGGGCAGCAAAAGAGAGAGGAGAAGGTGCTAGGCTCTTTTTAAACAACCAGTTCTCACGTGAACTAATAGAGCGAGAACTTGCTTATTACCGAGGGGAGGGCACCAAGCCATATTAGGGATGTGCCCTCATAACCAGATATCTTCCACTAGGCGCCACCTCCAACGTTTGGGATCACATTTCACCATGAGATTTGGAGGGGACAAATATCTAAACCACGTCAAGGAGTTTCTTTTGGGAGAGCTTAGGATCTTATTACTTTTTAATGGATGATTGATTTATTTTCTGAAATTCCTATTTTACTGTGTCTTTTTGAATTGTACAGTTTTCTGGCATTTAAATACTTTCATATTTGTTGTGCATTGGTTACCACCATCCTTCTCTAGAACTTTTTCATCTTTCTCAATTGAAACTCTGTACTTACTAAACACTAACTCCCCATTCA